>NC_000006.12:123555638-123858668 GCF_000001405.40 Homo sapiens | reverse complement strand
CAGTCTGACCTGAAGTCCATCAGCCTAGAATCTCATCCAAGTTCTACTACTAAAGAAAGAACTATTTGCATAGCTCTAAAGGCAGTACTTTCTGCTTTAATGACCTCTATCCTGTATTCCTCTATAACTCCATGTTATCCTGTCCCTTAAATGTAAATATGTATTTGGAAAAATTATTTTTCCCCTATATAGTCTCTCCCTCAAATTCCTCATCTATAAAACAGGTTTTGAAAATTAAAAAGACAATGTTAGAGGATGGGCACAGTGACTCACGCCTGTAATCCCAGCACTTTGGGAGGCCGAGGCGGGCAGATCACCTGAGGTCGGGAGTTTGAGACCAGCCTGACTAACATGACGAAACTCTGTCTCTACTAAAAATACAAAAATTAGCCAGGTGTGGTGGTGGGCACCTGTAATCCCAACTACTTGGGAGGCTGAGGCAGGAGAATCGCTTGAACCCGGGACGCGGAGGTTGCAGTGAGCTGAGATCACGCCACTGCACTCCAGTCTGGGCGACAGAGCGAGTATCCCTCTCAAAAAAAAAAAAATAATAATAATAATGTTAGGAAGGATAGTTCCACACATAGTATGTGAAAATATTTAAATTCCTTTCTTCCCAGGAGTGGATAGTTTTATCAGTTTCATATCTCCCTAATATACTCTCTAAACTGCAGAAGAAAGAACACATTCACACTATCTCTCCAAGTCAACAGATAAATCTGATATGTCTTTGTTTAGGAGGTTAGCCTTGTCAGGCCAATAATCTGTGTCATTCTCACTCTTCAAATACAATTGCACTGACATATGGGGCAGCTGACTACATTTTGGAGAGGTTAAATGATATTATGAAAGCATAAGCTTTGATCTTCTGGCCTGCAGTGTGCCTGATGAATACAATCGATAGTGTTCTGCTTCAATATGTATGGTCTTTTTTCCTAAGAAATCAGTTATTTAAACATGTCTTTATTAAGCATGTTGAACTGCCAGAAGAGCTATCTTAAATAAATGTGTTTTGTTCTGCATTAAATGAATTTCTGAGAATAAAAAGTGTCTTCTCATGTAAAATTTTGTCTTAACATCACATAAGGTAAGACAATGGGCTCTGGTTTTACATAATTTTTTCTCCACGTTTAATCTTCTACGAACTTAAAAAATAAAAATTTTCAATTATTATGGCCTATTGCTTAAATATAACTGTAAAAAAACATAGTTGCATGTTTATACACATTGGTGCTATTATGAACCATCTGAAAAACTGTATAGATTGTTTTTAATTCCATAATTACAACTTTACAAGCTTATAGCCCCTTAGGAACCATTACAGACTACCAAGTAAATAATATACACATTGAAAAGCCCCTGGTCGCACTGTCCAATAATCATCACATATGCAAAAAAAAAAAAAATCTAAATCACAGGCTTGTTTTAAATGATGAGGTCCTGCTGGTACAGGGTTTCTTATTTTAGGGTCCATGATGAACTCCAGGGGTTCCATAAACCCCTGACACTGTATGTAAAAATGTGACAGGCATTTTTCTGGACAGAGGTTTCATAGCTTTCCCAGACTGTTAAAGCAGTCCATTATACTTCCATATCAAAATAAATAAAAGATTAAGAGTATTATACTTCAACTATGAGGAATAAAAACATGAGAAAAAAAGATAAACAATTAAATTGAGATTTGATTATTGTAGTCAGAAAAGGAAAATTAGCAACCCCACTGTGTCTTATGTTGTTGTTTGTTTGTATGCTTTTGGTACCAGAAATCAATCAGAAAGTTATTTTTATTGTTTATGTGATTAAATTGATTTAATTAGGAGAGGAAGGTATTAAAAGACACAAGCAATTCTCAAACTTGAGCAGGCTCAACAACCTGGGGGTTTGTTATAGTAGAGAGGCCGGCTCCACCTCCCACAAATTCTGTAGGGCTGTGGTGGAGCCCCAAATCTGAATGTTTAACAAGCACATGGGGTGTCACAGATATAGGTGGTCAACAGAACCCCTAGTGAGAAACACTTCATTTCTTCCAATCCATTACAAATTTATCTTTAAATAGTTTGTTGTAATCTGTAAACTAGATATCCCTGAGGCAAGATTCTGTTTATTGGCATTTTTTCCAAAAAGCAACAACTAAAGCTCTTACCAACTTTACGATATAGAGTAAATCCAAAGAAAGAGAAACATTTATATGCCAATGGCTACTTTTAATAATTTTCAGTATATCAAATGATAATTTCAGAAGCCATTTTATTAACTACTGTTCACTAAAATAGGAATAAGTGAAAACCAAATAATCACAAAGTTACATTACAAATATTACAAGACTGAGGGTTAAATATAAAAATTTATTCTATATTCCGAGACAGTTTCTCGGCTTAACAATAACATTCTTAACATATCCATAATGTTGGAGTTATAGGATCAAAAAGCTGTCAGGAAAGTTATGAGACTTCTAGTTAATTCTCAAACATTCTTTAGTTCTACATGTCTAGGAGGAAAAAAAGGAAGGGGTTTTATTGCAAGGTCTAAAATAAACAGGCCATACAAATTTGACAGCTCATTATGATAAGTGAAAAAGTAAGAAATCAAAAGAAATCAAGGATATAGGCAACATCTTAACCATTATTCCCAGTTTGGTGTTTTTAAACTATGGATAATTTGAAACTATAAAATCTTAAAAGATATTGTGGGAGGGTACAGTGCTTTTAATTGTAAACTTCAAAATGATATCACCCTGATAATTGCTAAAACTGCATTTACACCCTGCAGGGTACAAGTAATAAGGCCAACCTAGTATTCCTCAAAACATAGCCATCATTTTAATAGTTCTACCATACGTCTCAGCAGTGCAATTAATTTTCTGGCATTTATGCAAGTTTTCTATGGTGAATCCATGTGAACTCAGACATTGTGAGGCAATTTTTATATGCAGGATACACAAATAGCCTTGTCACTCAGGAACTGCCTCCTTAATGCAAAAACACCAGCATATCTGTCTCATTTCCATTATCCCCAGACATGGCATGTGCAGCACATAAGGGTGGCTGACAGAAAACTGCAGTAACCGTGGCTGGTCTATAATAGTCTGGCAACAAAGCTGGGTGGCAAATATGGTGCTCTGACAAGTATGGAGACACCCAACCACAAAGAATCAGTACTAGATAATATCTCTTTACACTCATCACTTCTGGGTCAATTTGCAATAATCAAAGTCTTCTTAAAATGACATTCATATAAAATACAAGTTTAAGTGTTTGCTATTTAAATTAGTTTCCGGAATCAGTGGGAAATATGATGTCACATTGACAGTATTTTTTTATGTGCCACCCGGGTTCTAAATGTCAGACTTAAAACAGCCAAGAATATTTTTCACTGTTTGCCTCAGTCATATGTATTGCAACAGAAGGATAATAATATTTGTTCACAATATTTTAATTTATAAAAATTAGAGATGAAATTCCATTAGGAAAATTCATAAATGCGATAAATTTAAAACCCATGGCAAAGAACTGATTTCCAACAATGCAAATTTCATATATTATATTAAATCTGTTTATGTAAAGGAATACATTTATACTATTTTCTTGTATGCTATTTTATTTATCACTTTTCAAACTCATAGCTGTCCAACTGACTTTGACATTAGAATATAATGACATTCGGACAGAGTAGAGGTATGAATGCTGCTCCAAAGACAGTGAAGAGAATCATTTCATTTCAGTGATAATGCCAGGAGAAAAAGAATAGTCACTGGTGTCCTGTCTCAGCCAAGGAAAGACGCAGAAGACCAAAGTTCCTTTAGATCCACCTCAGTGTTCAGCATCCTTCTAGGAAAAACCTGAAGACCTAATAAAGTTAATGACCTTCTGATTCCATCACAGAAAAGTTCAGTGAGGGCACCCACCCTCCAGACTACAGAGCTTCACCTTCCTGCTTGGGCCTTGAGCTCTTCTCAATTAAGATGAAGGGCCTTGCACAAGTTACTTATGTACTCTAAGGCTAATCTTACTTGTCTGTAAATTTGGATATTGATGAGAACTTTGTAGGGTTGCTTGGAAGATAAAATGTAATAACGTATGTGAAACATTTGGCACAGCACCTGGCATATAAAAGTACTTAAGTGTAGCATTAATGTATTATTTAACTAATAATAAAAATTGTTAATGTTTTAATACCCATAATAAGTTTGATTCATGGAAAATCTCCATTTCCAGCAAACAGTCAAACATTATCGTGGTGACATTTTTCCTCTACAGATAAGATAAAGCCAGACAACTTGGCATGCAGCATATGTTCTAAAATTGTATAAGCTACCAAAGGCAATGGAAAAGCAGATGAGTGCATTTTAAAAATTAAAATGTCTTTTGATTGCTCTGCCTTATGTCCTGTGTTGAAAAGAGGCACTGACAGAATCAGTATCTTTATAAATGATGGATTTTGTACAGCATGAAAAAGGCATAACAAAGTATATTTCAAATTTTGTTTTGAAAGCACCGATTCCCATATATCTTTGAAATTAAATTTCCCTCATGGTTCATCTTTAAACCCTTTACCTTGTACTAAGAGGAATATATGAGTAAGGAAAGAAAATTTATCGGGCGGGTGTGGTGGCTCATGCCTGTAATCCCTGCACTTTGGGAGGCCAAGGCAGGCGGAGCACCTGAGGTCAGGAGTTCAAGACCAGCCTGACCAACATGGTGAAACCCCGTCTCAACTAAAAATACCAAAATTAGCCGGGTGTGGTGGTGGGCACCTGTAGTCCCAGCTACTCAGGAGGCTGAGGCAGGAGAATTGCTTGAACCCAGGAGGTGGAGGTTGCAGTGAGCTGAGATAGCGCCACTGCACTCCAGCTTGGGCAACAAGAGTGAAATTCTATCTCAAAAAAAAAAAAAAGGAAATTTATCTTTTACAATTTCATTCAAATGTAAACTGCAGATAAATATTAGAAATCACATAAATGAATTATTTTGCTAGTCTGATTTTTCTATATCATCCCCCCTTTTTGTCATTCCTCCTGAATATTCCTCCTGAATATTCTCCTCCTTTTTGTCATTACTCCATGTACCTGAATGTCACTTGTATTTCTTTTTTTCTTATGTTTTCATAAATACAATGAAAAGGCTAGTGTTTCTAACACAGTGCTTTGTTTCTGCTTATCTGATAATGCAATAACTAATATTTCATTATAATATAATAAATGTTTGTAGAATGAATGACCGAAATGTCAGGTCTAATTCTCTGCTTTTTTATTAATATTACATTTCCCATAGGTTTTCACTGTCTACTTGGGCTGCACGCCAAAGAGACCATTCAATTTTTCTATTGTAGATTTGTGAATTATGTATAGAAAATGCATTGCACTTTACAGAACTTTGGCATTTATCCACTTACACTGAGTAAGCTTAAGGTGAAAGAAGAAAGATCTTTTTTCTTAGGGGTAATTACTAAATTTCTACTGTCATAATACAAGTCATTTTTTTCCTCCAAGATAAAGCTAAACAGTTATAGGAAACTGATCCAAAAAAAGATTCTTGCTCTTCACATTAAAACATATATCTTTACTGTACTCTGTGGCACACAGTATCAAGACATGAGGACTCTGAATCATAGTGCTTATTTAGGAAACATCAATGATGATACTCAACATGATGATAAAGTCTACAGAATGCTTGGGGCTATCACACTAGCATCTGTAAAACATGGTACAACATTTAGAAACATTTAATTAATGCCACATAATAGCACATATTTGCCTTATTCTCTTGATTCCAAAGATTTCCACGGAGCACCACATCTACTCTACACAACAACACCTCTTTTTGGATTTTCTGTGGCAATGTGTGTTTATAGTAAAGTTCAGGAAGGGATAAGAAGAATTTGATTTCCACATATAAGTGAGATTATATAGTATCTGTCTTTCTGTGCCTGGCCTATTTTACATAACATAATGTTCTCCACGTTCATCTATGTTGTTGCAAATGATAGGATTTCCTTCTTTTTAAAGGCTGAATAGTATTTTCCACGTTTTCTTTATCCAGTCATCATCCATTGATGGGCACTTAGGTTAATTCCACATTATGGCTATTGTGAATAATGCTGCAATGAACACAGGACTGCAGATATCCCTCCAACATACTGATTTTATTTCCTTTGAATATATACTCAGTTAAGGGGATTGCTGGATCATGTAGTAGTTAGAGAGTAAAACAGTGGAGGTTGGGGAGACTGGGAAGGTGTTAGCTGAAGGATGCAAAATTTCAGTTGAACAGGAAGAAAAAATTCAAGAGACCTATTGTATATCAGAGGTGCAATAGTCAATAGCAATATACTGTGTACTTGAAATTTGCTAAGAGAGTAGATTTTAAGTGCTCATCACAAAAAAAAAGAAGTTTGTGAAGTACTGCATATGTTAATTAACTTGATTTAGCCATTCTACAATGTATACATATATCAAAAGATCATGTTGTCGCTTCAATAAGTGGTGCTGGGACTGGTGGATGTCCACATGCAGAAAAATGAAATTGGACCCTTATAACATTGGACAAAAAGCAATTCAAAATGAGGTAAAAACTTCAGTGTAAAAACTGAAACTAAAACTTCTGGAAGAAAACATATGGCTAAAGCTTCATGACACTGGTCTGGGCAATAATTTTTTTGATATGATCCCAAAAGCATAAGCAACAAAAGTATAAACAGACAAATGGATTATGTGAATTTCAAAATCTCTGCACAGCAAAAAAAATAAAAATAAAATGAAAATTAAAAAATAAACAGACTGAAGTGACAGTCTATGGAATGGGATAAAATATTGGCAAGCCATACATCAGAAAATCAATTAATGTCCAAAATAAATAAGGATCTCAAAGAACTCTATCGCAAGACTTAAAAATAGGCAAAGGGCTTGAATAGACATTTCGCAAAAGATGACGTACAAATGGCCAACAAGTATATTTTTTTAAAAAGCTCGACATCACTAATCATCAGATAAATAAAAAAGATGAAACTAACAAGTCTTGGTGAGGATGTGGAGACAAGGAAACACTTGTAAACTGTTGGTACTGCAAATTAGTAAGGCTATTATGGAAAACAGTATCAAAGCTCCTCAAAAAATAAAAAACAGCTGGGCGTGGTGGCTCATAACTGTAATCTCAACACTTTGGTAGGCTGACGTGGGAGAATCACCTGAGGTTAGGAGCTCAAGACCAGCCTGGCCAACATGGTGAAACCCCATCTTGACTAAAAAATACAAAACTTAGCCAGGCATGGTGGCGCATGCCTGTAATCCCAGCTACTCAGGAGGCTGAGGCAGGAGGACTGCTTGAACCTAGGAGGCGGAGGTTGTAGTGAGCCGAGATTGCACCATTGCACTCCAGCCTGAGAGACAGAGCCAGACTCTGTCTCAAAAAAAAAAAAAAAAAAAAAAATAGAACCACCATATGATCCAGCAATCCCCCTACTGAGTATATATCCAAAGGAAATGAAATCAGTATGTTGAAGAGACATTTGCACTTCCATGTTCACTGCAGCACTATTCACAATAGCCATAATATGGAATCAACCTAAGTGTCCATCAATGGATGATGACTGGAAAAAGAAAATATGATATCTATACGCAATGGAATACAATTCAGCCTTAAAAAAGAAAGAAATCCTATTATTTACGAAAAAAATATGTAACTGGAGAACACTGTTAAGTGAAATAAGCCAGGCACAGAAAAACAAATACCACATGATCTCACTTATATATGGAATCTAAAAAGTTGAACTAATAGAAATAGAGAGTAGTTACCAGTGGCTCAGGAGATGTTGGTCTAAGATACGAAATTTCATTATGAGGACTAAGTTCAAGAAACCTATTGTACAACATGGTGACTACAGTTAATAACAATCTGTATTCCTGAAAATTGCTGAGACAGTAGATTTTATGTGTTCCCACCACAAAAAAATAAGCGTGTGAAGTAATGCATACGTTCATTCGCTCAATTTAGCAACTGCATATTTCAAAATAAGTTGTACATAATAAATAAATGCAATGTTTATTTGTCAATTAAAACTACATTTAAAATAAAATTACAAAGTGAAACAAAGTTAGAAGTGAACTCTGGTAAAGAAGACCTTCTACTAAATTAGCCTACTAAACACATAAAAATTGTTCCCACAAGAACATAGATAAAATGTCGTTGGATTACTCATTGCCTCAATTCTAACTGCTTCTCTTTGTTGATAACATTGACTGGTAGACCCACCAGTAGCCCTTAGCTTGGAGGGGAAAAAAATATATACGTGTGTGTGTGTGTATATATATATATATATTTTTTTTTTTTTTCAGCAGCTTGCAAGTGTTATCAGCCAGTTAGGCGGGGAAATGTGATCCAGTCCCTTCTACTCTGAGGTATCTTAGGTCAGCTCTCTGTGTAACAGCTAATTTGGGGTTCCTCAATCATTGCTGTTTGAGCTCAGGAGAATGTTCTGAAATGAGCACCAGGAGAGAGATCTGATCACATCCCAAAGGATTATCAGTGCACATGTTCTACAGTTAGAAACATTTAAAGAAAAAAAGCAGCTCGGCATGCGGGCTCTCGCTTGTAATCCCAGAATTTTGGAAGACTGAGGCAGGAGGACTGCTTAAGCCCAGGAGTTGGAGACCAGCCTGGGCAACAAAGAGAGACCTCATCTCCACAGAAAGTTAAAAAAAAAACAAACAAACAAAAAAAAAAAACCAGCCTGAGTTACAGAGTGAAACCATGTCTCAAAAAAATTTTTTTAAAGAAAATTGTAAATAATAATAAACACTGACTCATCTAATCACTGAATACTTATGAAAGCATTATTTTTAATATTTTAGATAAGGTATTATAAGAATTAGGGATACATATCTGCTTCCAAGCAGCTTCCAATCCAAGAAGTAATTTAACACAGAAGTTAAAAGAATATTTGGCCACCCTGCCCATATTACCTTGTCTCCCCTTACCAGCTTCCTGCACTCCAGCTACAAGCACACTGGCACCCACCCCCAGCCTCTGTAGCTCCTTGTCGCAAAGTTGCCTGCAGACTGCCGAAACTGCTTTGCCTACACCCACAGAGATAGGAAAGTGCAGGGAGTTCATGCCACCTCCCAGACTTCTGCCTGTAGCTAATGACTAACAGGGGTAGGGACGTACAAAGACTCTATCCCCCTGGCTTCCTAAGTGGGACTCTAAGGTGAGCCTCAGACTATCTGCAGAGCTACCTTGCAGAACTAAGTTACATTACACCCACCTCCTCCTGGGATTTTACAGGATCTCTCACCATTGCTTGGCTTCCTGCCATTCCATGTCTACTTCCCAACTCTGCTACTGGTTTTTTCCTAGGAACACTTCCTCGTCTATCATTTTTACATGAATTACCTCAAGGTCAGCTTCTGAAAGAAGACAGCTGTTATTAGTATTAATTCTATTATAACTAAAAGTGACGGAAAATAATATAAAGATGAGTGAATCAGTTTATCTAAAAGTTGTACAAAGTAGTACAAGAGTTCAAAAGAGAAACTAATATAGTATCAGGATCAGTGTAGGATTCCCGGAGCAAGTACAGCAAAGTTAAGGGAAATCTGGTTGCCAAAATCTCCAAAGGCTTTGAGTGTCAAGATAATGGGCTTATAGCTTATTCAATAGAAAACTGAGAATTATAGAAATGTTTTAAGTAGGGAGGACCATGTCATATGATTTTTAAAGTTTAGCTTAAATAATTTGGCAGAAATATCACTAAGTCCTAGAACTTTTCTATCTTTTGTGGATGTAGTAGTGGGAACTCTTTAAAACTGGCAGACATGCTGTGTTTTTCAGCTCTTTCTCTCCAAATCTGAATGCTGGTATGAAATATATTAAAGAGATATCACCAATGACCCAGAATTCTGTCTATTCTAAAGTACGGGTGCACTCTGAAAGTAAGCACACACCCTTTGGCTCAGTCAAATCATCCCCAGTCCTTAAACAGACTGTGGCAGTGTATCAGTCCATTCTCACACTGCTATAATGAACTGCCTAAGTCTGGGTAAATTATAAAGGAAAGAGGTTGAATTGACTCACAGTTGCACAGGCCTGTACAACTTACAATTGTGGTGGAAGGGGAAGCAAACATCTCCTTCTTCACATGGCAGCAGGAGAGAGAAATTCCAAGCAAAGGGTGAAAAGTCCCTTATAAAACCATCAGATCTTGTGAGAACTCACTGACTATTATGAGACCAGCATGAGGACAACCATCTCCATTATTCAATTACCTCCTACCGGGTCCCTCCCACGACACATGGGGATTATGGAAACTACAATTCAAGATGAGATTTGGGTGGGGACACAGCTAAACCATATCAGGTAGCATGCAAATATTCACACTTTAGAATCATACGGTAGTTGGCAGTGGTCTACAGATTCTTCATCCCTTCATCCTTGGTCTCTCATTGCTGGGTATGGCTATTTATCAATCAAAGCTCTAGGCTCCAGTACAGGTTTCTAAAGCATCTTTTGTCTTTCAGCCACACGATAACAGTAAATGTATACAGTTTAGTCACTATAGTGTCATACTCTTTGAGGAAGTATTTCCACTTTCCTCACTTAACAGTGTCCACCTTTATGATGGCTTTTCGATAAAGAATATCTCCTATTTAATTCTTAGCTACAGATAGCATTTACTGCTCTAGGAGCTAGAACGCTGCTGCTTGATATATAAAGGTGCTCATGTTTGAAGTACTTGACTTTAAACCAACAATTTTCAACCTGACTGCACAGTGGATCCCAAGGAGAGATTTAAAGACAGAAGATTCTCAAGCTCCGTACCATCCCAATTACCAAGGCCACAGCATTTTTTTAAGATTTTTTAGGTAATTATAAACTGCAGCCAGTATAAAGTTTCACCACTTCAGACTGATAGGCCTGGATTTTAGATACAGCAATTTTAAAATTAAAATGAAAAGTTTTAGGTAATATTTGGCCAATAGTTAAAAACAAAGATAGAGCTGTATCATTCTCATCTGTTTATGAGTTATTCTCACAAATGGGATCCTCATGAGACAAAACTGGTATTTATTTTAATCGTCTTAAAGAAAAGGAAACAAATCCTTCAAATGTTATGTAATATACTCAAGTTCATAATAATAAGCAGTAGAATAAGACATCCATCTTCCATTTCTTCTTCTTTTCTTCCCAAAGGCCTCAGAACACTAGTCTTCTAATTCCAAGCAGAAAGTTCCATCCGCCGGGATACATGCCACTTGGTTTGATGAATCAAAATACAGCATCCTTCAGATCCCTTTGCTGAGCAATACAATTATTTGTATATGTTACTTTTTTTTCTGTTTGGCTGAAAGATTTAATATGAGCTAAGGAAAATGAAGCCATTACTGCTATAAGATCTAATCCCTTTCCACCACCTTTCAGGATATTGGCACTGCATATATTCAGAATTCCCCAAAGTCAGCTTGTGATAAAAATGTCTTCAGAGATGGCAGAATATGTTTCCTTTGGTACATGTTCATTAAAAATATACACGTGTTCACTACTGTGGATATGTATGTATTGACAGATGACACAGGCTGATTTAGGAAGAGATAAAAGCACACTTAGAATTTATTAGCCTTTCAACCAAGACATAAAATTCTGAAATAAAGAATGTATTCCTAGTCAACAATTTTCCTCTGCTCTTAGCCATCTTACATAGTACTGGACTGAATGTGCGATAAGGACATGTTCATCCGTTTATCTCCATCTCCAGTACAGTGCCTGGAATAGAGTGGATATTTGTGAATGAAAGAGGAAATAAGAGACATGTGTTATGTGTGTGTGTGTGTGTGCGCGCGTGCGTGTGTGTGGCGGTGGCGTGGGGGGTGGTAATAGAATGAAAATGCCTTTAGAAAAGATAATTCCAACAGTATTCTTCATTAGCGCCCTCATCAGGAAGCCTGGGTTTGAAGAATATTGAAATGACAAGAAGACCACGTGCATATACTGCTTGCTATTTCTTTTATCTGAAGAATTTTACTGTTCTCACATTCTCTATCAACCTAGTTTTACTTGATGCAATGTTGCTATAAAAATCATTTTTTCTTCCTATTAACATCCCACTTAGTTCATCACAACTGAGATAATATCACCTCTAAAATGCAAAACATCAACTGCAAAGACTAAGAAGTCTAAGCAACAGATGTTTACAAGTTAGACTAGCCAATTTCAAGAAACACCCATGGGGTAGAGATTTTAAATAAAAACAGCCCATAGCTATTTGCATCTCTCCTTTACTTGGCTCAATGTTCTGGTAAGACTAGAAGCAAGTTCAGGGTTCACTTTTTAAGAACTGAGGCAAAAGCACAACCTATTTGGAGTGGCAGGAAGGGGAAAAATCCTTAGCCTATGAGGACTTAACTAAATAAGTAAGAAAAGCCATTCATTCAGGCCAGCTTCCCAAACTTTCCTACCACATTGAGGTTTACACACACCTAGAAATGATAGGGTTGAAAGCCTAATAACGACTCAGCATATACACACTGAGTGCTGCTCCAAGTTTAACACTTTAATAGGGCAAAAATATAGCTCCTGCATGGTTAGAAAAAGAAGATGCATATAAAACATTCATATAAAAATGTAAGCTTCCAAAAGCATAGTTATAAAATTAGAATGGGTAGAATTCAAAGAAAAGAGAGATTGGGATGAGTCAGAGAGACCCGGTAAAGTGTTCATGTAATAAAAATATAGAGTATTTAAAGATGCTGGAAGAAAAAAAGGGAAGTAATTTGTATATATGTTAGATGAATAATAGAAACTCAAATTTCCTACAAGTTTGTCCAACTGGCATTTTCACTTGGAACGCTTTAGCATCACTGATCTTGGTTTTCTCTTCTCTGTAACTATCAGAAATATAAGGTATACAGTCATTACTCAGTATCCGTGGGGGATTAGTTCCAGGACCTCCTGTGTATACCAAAATCCATGCAGACTCACTGAAGTCCTACAGTCGGACCTACAAAACCCACATATATAAAAGTCAGCCTTCCTTATTACATGGATTTCACATCCAGAAAATACTGTATTTGCAATCCACATTTGGCTGAAAAAACCTGATTATGGGTGGGCCCACAGAGTTCAAATTTGTGTTGTTCATGAGTCAACTGTATAATAAAAATCAGAAAGGTGAAGAGAAACCCAAATTATACAATTCACTTGTGATAACACAGGATTTGGTGTTAAGTATAAAAGGAAAACGCATCACATGAGCAAAAATTGTTAAATCTCTATTTGTCATGTCACTTTTGTATTATTCTTTTTGATGACTGCATGTCTACCTATGAAATGTTTGAAAGTTATTACATTTTATTTATGTCAAAAGACTTGTGAGCTATTTGAATTCTATGCCATTTTTAAACTATTGCAGATGACTGGATTCTTCATATTATTAAACTGTTCTTTGCCATAGAAGATATCACATTTTATAGTATTTGTACTCTAATTCAGAAGTGTAGCAAGCTACCAGCAAATAGAAGTACATATATTGATTCACTCCAAGCGTATAAACCTATAATCAGAATATTGCACTTCAACATCTATTTGTCTCAAAAGTCTACAATGACCCCTTGAAAAGTCAAAACACTTCTGTTCAATTGGTGTTTAAGGTTGTTTTCCAATTAACATCTTAAAACAAATTTCTTCTCAGATAATGTTAAATTCTTTTGTTCAGTATTCCCTTTGTCACTCAAACTAAGTAATTTTGTTTGGCTTTACTTGTTGAGATTTAGCCATAGGCCTGCATACAATAGCAAATCTCCTCAAATCATTCTAAATTGGAAATAATTCTTGATGAAGAGTATATGTCTAATACTGACCATATAAATATGGTTGCCATATGGTGATGTAGAAGGAACATAAAATAGGACCTCAGGAATTGTCACATCTGTTAGCCTTGTACAGCAGGATTTAAATCAGATGGTAAGATAAACTCTGCCATCAATCTGGATTGGTTACTTTCTTTAGACAACAGCATTTGTGAAGAAGCACATATGTATCCATGTAGTATGATTAGGCTCTGCCTCCTCTTCCTCATAGATCTGTCCTGGTGTGAACTGAAGTTTAGATGGCCTGAAAGTTATTTCATCTGGTCAGAAAACATGTGTATAGGTTAGCTACTAAGAGATCATTAAGGGGAGACGAGTAACAGAGATTTGGTTAAAGGGGATGCTATTTAAAGGGGATGTCAGCAGTTAAAGGGGATGTGAGCAATAGAGGCAGGGAGCAGAAGGAAATAAACCTACAAAAATGGGATTGAATATCTAAATTCCAATACCTGAAAAATGTTAGTGAAAACAAAGTAAAACTAATTCCTCTCTCATAATCTATGCTTTAGCTAAACACTACCTTCTTCAAAATGCTCTGTACGTCTGGTTCCCTCTGCCAGAATCGCTTTCCTCCCAACACTTATCTAACTCCTCTTTATCTTTAGGACACGGTTGGGGTTCAGAGAATGACACTGCAAAGTATGGCACTTTGGCATGCTGAGTGCTTTGAATTAAAGGAGAACCAAAGCTTCTCCGACCTTCTCTTGCCCTCCTGTCTCTCACCCATCTTTCTCCCCAAAAGGGCAGGGCAGAGGCCTTCTCATAAGTTCTCTTACCTACCTGATGACAGAACCTCCAAAGCGGAACTTATCTGTCATTTTGTCATTAATCCCCATTACGGGAATCTCATGAACCAGGGAAGAGTGTATCACAGGAGCAGAGATCGAGGTCAAAATCATGCCCGGACTTTGTCACAGGCTATCACCTATTCTTCTTAGGGTTGTTCCTAGAAAACTTTTATTACCTGAGAGACTTTAGCTGCATCATAAGACAACCTTTGTTCACCCATACACTTCCCCCATTACCCTCCCATAACTTGCGTCGCCACCACCCGTCAGAAGCCCCAAACCCCTGTTCTTTCTGTAGCTCTGATCCTATATAAGTTTCAATAATCTTACCCTTTCTTAAGTCTCATATTTCGTGATGATAAGGACAGGATGCAGGGAAATACTGGGTAGAAGAGGGCGAGGTCACTGGTGAGGGCTCCACCCTCAAGCCTGGACTCACAGCCCTAAATAAAAATATGCATTCCTGTTGTCCCGACCAAAAGATACCTTTTCCAAAACCACCCTGGCCCTCCACACACCTTGCCCTGTACCCATAAAAACCCCAAGCTCCCCTGGCAAAGGGGCAGAGTGGCTCGGCAGAGAAGGAGAGAAGAAGCATCTGAACATTGAGAGGAGAAGAGGCAGCTGAACATTGGGGACTATGGTTCATCCCCAGCCAAACTCCAGGGGAAGATTATCTTCTTGCTCCATCCCCTTTCCAGCTCCCCATCCTATTAAGAGTCACTGCCATTGCTCAATAAAACTCTCTGCATACACCACCCTTCAATCCATTTGTGTGACCTGATTCTTCCTGGATTCTGGACAAGAATTCGGGACACACTGGGTGCGGGAACCCAAAAAGTCTGTCACACTGAGTCTTCACTGAGTGTTTAACGCTTAAGCTGTGTGCAGTGGCAAAGCTAAAAGAGAATTGTTTGTACCACACACCCTCTGGGGCTCCAGAGGTCATGGACAACCCTAGATATTGTCGCAGGCCGGTACAGGGTTCATTCCTGCCAGCACCCAAAGGCACTTGCCCCAGCTCGTGCACTTGCTCACCTGTGTACCCCTATCCCACAATGGGTTTGAGTGGCTGAGTAAATCAGCCACCCTGAAGGTATGTATTACAGCACTGAATAGATAAGACCAGGATCTAGTTACTTGAGTTCACATAAAGAACTGGACCAGATAAGAGGAAGGAGCCTCACTCGTAGAGCTTGAGTAGAAATTCAGAGCAAAAACTACAGACACTCAGACTAAGCATTAACTAGCATGGGGTCTTTAGCTGTTCCTAGTTTCAGAACAAGAATGATCCCATAGCATTGGGCAGAGCTAATCCTCTAAGTGGACGTTAAATTAGGGAAAAAAAAAACAAAAACATAGACAAGAGTCAAATCAGTCATCATTGCCAAAGATTCCACTTGCTGAAGTTGTAAAGTTCTTAAGAAGTGCAATAGAATATATCAATCTTATTATTTATATACTGTTATGGACTAAATGGTTGTGTCTCCTCAAGATTCATATGTTGAAGTCCTAACCCCCAACAAGACTATATTTGTATATAGGGCCTCTGAGGAGATGATAAAGGTTAAACAAGGTCATAAGGATAGGGCTCTAATCTGATAGGTCTAGTGTCCTTATAAGAAAAGAAAAAGGCATGAGAGTACTTTTACTCCACCACATAAGGATATTAAGAAGGTGCCCATCTACAAGCCAGGAAGAGAGCCCTCACCAGGAACTGAATTATCTGGCACTTTGATCTTGGATTTCTCAGCTGCCACAGTTGTGAGAAATACATATCTGCTGTTTAAGCCACCCAGTGTGTGGTATTTTGTTTTGGCAGCCCAAGCAGACTAATACGTGCCACAAATTTATTTTTGTGTATAATGTCTCCAAGTAATTTGAATAAATTGTCTTGTTAGCATTATTTTACCACCTTGGAGCTAGGGAAACAACAAAGAAAAATCAGATGTCTACTGATGTTGGTAGACAGATACTCCTAAAATCACAATGGGCTAATTAACCTTTCCACTTCATCTACTATGGAATCTTCCCATTATCTACTAACAGTATCCAACAGTTTAGTAGTGCATAAAATGGAGCTCTCAATGCGACTTTTGAAAACCATCCTACACCTGTCATCCTGTAAGTCATCCTATAGTTGCTTGACTGACAAGGTTATACAATAACTGATCCAAGAAAACTTAAGCCACAGTCTTAATGATGATGGAGGATCCCTTGACTATTGCTACTGTTAGCTTTGTTGGTTTTCCTTTTGCTGATGAAAATGATTGAAATGTTTTAAAAATCCATAGCATCCTGGACGTTGAGGGTTATGTAGGGCCGACTCAGCAGCTGTTAAGGTGAAGTGGTTCCCGTGACCATTGGTTGCATTACTCTCTTCAGGAGACTGGGAGCCCTACCCAGAATGTCATATCTGGGAAACTTCCTTAGACTGTGTACAGACTTCCTGTTGATGATGGATGGATGTCATAAAAGAAAGTTATGAGGTGTAAATTACCATCACAACTGAATTTGTCCCTGCAGTGATAAGGGCAGTGGTCTGCTTACTTTTCAAAGGGACTGTAATATATAGTGTTATAAAGCAAGTCACTCCTTTCAGCCTTATGTCTCCATATTTAATTACTATGCCTTGAAAACACATATACTATACTCTGACATCTCACGATTGTAACACTGATTATAGATGTTAGGCCAGTTTACTTTGGACCTCATCCAAGATAATTGAATTAAGAATATCTCAAGTACTTGTTAGCAGTTAATCATACCTACAAATTGGTTCCAATGAGAGAGCTATGTTAAAGTTCCCAAAGATACGGTGCAAAAGAAAAAAGAAGATGTTTAAGCTTCTTTTTCTTCTTCTATTTGTGTACATATACCGCCCTATTCACACTTTCTAGACTAGGCAATTTGCTTAGTGCAGGTATAGAATAACAGTTGTGCTATAGTTCAAAAGTACCTGAGTTTGGACATTTGTATCAGATCTACATTGCATTTAAAAAACACAGAGGAAAGAAGTCCTACTGGTTTGCAACCTTAAGCAATTGTGAAATAGAAAGAAAAGTAATAATTTTGATGGCCTCAAAGAAACAATTTGTTTTCCTTTTACAGAAAGCTGTAAAATCCTATCTAGACTACACTTTGAAAAGTTTTCTAACATCCCTACAGGAAACATATATAAATAGTATATAAACTATAAAAATATCAAGTGTAATTAATGAAAGTGTTCTTTCTAATACATACAAATCCCAGGATAATGAAATGTAGTCTTATTGTACTATTTTCTGCTTTTTGATCCCCAAAAGCCAGAGTACAATAAAAACTGAATAATGCATTTTCATTTTTCTAAGCACTATAAATTCTTGTGTATTTCAAGACAGGACAAGTACCTCAAAAAGATCTTAGATGTTTGACATCCATGACTATTTTGTCCTTTCAGAATTGCAATACCTACATAAGCAATTACTTAAAATCATAAAAATATAACGAAGTTAAAAATTATTATTGTTTTTCTTCAATGTAAATCATAAAAATAATCAGGTTAGACAATTACAAGTTTTCCTTCAATCTAACATCTCTTTAGGTACAAATATGTGAGTTTTTGCTGATAGTTTTGCAAGCTTAAAAATCATCTTTGATTAAAAGGAAAAACTGTGTTTCATTTTTTCCCTATGGTTGTATAATTTTTTGGCAGAAGAGATATAAATTTATACGTAAATCTTCTGAATATGACTTTTATAGTTTAAAAAAGTGAATGTTTTTAGAACATTATATAATCATATACGAAGAATACAGAATTTGCCTAAGTACTCTGGATAACAGTAGTAATTAAATACACACAAACATACAGACTAACACATGCACATAAACATAAAGCATTTGTCAATTACTGTTCCTGCCATACTTATGAATACTAAAGGTTATAAACTGTGGAAGAAAAAAAGCTTTCAAGGTGATTATTATTTTATCTAAAATATTAGGCCAAAAATAACATCCATGAAATTGAAAATGTGGAAAACAAAAACTGTTAGAAATCAATTTATTTTTAATCATATCCACCTGCAGGGAAAGTTTTTTAATGATCCATTTATTGCTGTTAAGAGTTTTGCTTTGTATATTGTTTTCTTGACATTTGAAGCATGTTTTCTGTAACATTTGCTTATATCCTTCAAGAGGCTTCTGATTTTGAAGAGCGACATTTTGAGCATAGGAACATCTTCTGTCATAATCATTCCTATATTCTCTCTATTAATAATCCCTAGATAAATACCCATGAATCAAAAAGGAGACTGGAAATAACATATAACCATTCAGTTATTTAAAAGCAGAATTAATGACTAACAGTATGCTACTAGCTAACCTCAATTTTGCTGTAGTGTTGCAAAAGAAAAAGTAGGTGGGAGAGAGGGTAGTTAACAGCCAAAGTGAAAAGAAATTCGTAAAGTTAGAAAAAGATTGGGCTATTAAAGGGAACTACAAACTCTCTAAGAACATTTTTTTTAATGAAACAAAACAAAACGAAATGCTTATTTTGTGTTGTTTAGGAGTAACTCAACAGAAAGAATAGGATTGGAGTACATATTCTTTATAGACACACTTAAGCATCTAAAGATTGTCTGCTAATCACATTTCCATAAATCAAATCAAATTAAAATAACTTTTACAGATGAGGAGACTATAAGTCATTTTTAAATAACTTTACAGTATTTTTCTTAAAGTACTAAAAATTATATTAATTACAAAGTTTACGACTTGTAAAAGTTACTCTGAAATTGACTCCAATTTTTTTTTTTTTTTTGGAGTGTTTAGGTTTAGAAGTACCTTAATGACCTTCGAGATCCTTTTTCCTTCTGCAAGTTCAAGTGGGAAGGATATGCTCTGTTCTGCCAGCCTTCTGTGCTAACCAAACAGGACACACAGAGTCCCTCTCCCCCTAAGCAGCATAAACTAGCTGCTGCCCTCTGTTCTTGAGCTGTTCTGCTTCCTGGACTTGAAGCAGGGCAGGATAGCTACGGTGCAGATGGAGCTGAAAGCTAAGTATGACTAGCAATTCTGCAGGTTAAATTGTGAGAGAGAGTCATTATCCATATGCGAGAAAACACATTGCTAGCAGCATCCTTAAGTGGGCAAAGGGAGAAAGAATAGATTTTCTAATCTAACCTTAGGAGGTAAATTGCCTTTTTCTAGCATACAGGGTGAAATCTCACACTTTTTTGAAAGACACTTGATTTCAAATGCACGTTTAAATGGCAATTACTCATTTAAAAAGATGCGCTGGTCCCCTGACCCCCTTGAGTAGAAAGGTAATAAAACACACTGCTTTAACATAATGATCCCTCCAAGAGTTGTGTTTACTTTATGCGTGTCTGTAGATAGACTCTTTTGCCTGAAGCACATTTATTTTGATTCCTTATGTGAAACAAAATCAATATATTAGGTATTTTTCATCAAACGGCATTTTACAGTATCACTTTTTTTCCAAATGTAAAATCGAAAACCTTCCTAAGAGTGGAAATTTGACATAACTCAAGTAAAAACTACTTCAGACAGTAGCAGAATAAATATTATAACTTTTATATAAAAACTGGTTTATTGCTCTCTTGATCAGCAATGGAGAGACAAGGACACTCATTATTATATAAATCATTCTCCAGAATTTATGAGGTAATAAAAGCAGCAAAATATAGATTCATAACGGAGAGAATTTATGAAGTAGCTTTCAAAACCCTTTCGGTTAAGTTTCCATGTATATTAGAAACTAAAAGGTTGACTTAAGGACTTTGGCTTATGGTTATTCACTTATTAAAACATCGTATTTGTCTTATTTCAGTTCTCTTGATTTCAGAAAAAAAGAGAAAATTTAAAATCATTGTTGCATTCCTGAAACAAACTTTTGGTGTATATTTTCTAAGAATATTGTATTAGGTACTCTGCCATTCTTTCCTGGAAAATCCTATTTAGGGCTAACTTTTTCTCCTATTATGGTCCACCACTTCAAAGTCTTGTTTCTTCTGCAAGATCCTACTACCAAGGTATACTTTATACTTGCATAACTCTGTTTTATACACACTGTCCTTTCTCAGAGCAAAGTCAAGTTCCCTCTACAAAACTTCCCACAATCTGTGCAACTAATTCCATGCACAAGGACATCTTGGAAATAATATATTGAAAGGTAATTTTCACATCACTTTCCACAAGATGGAATGTTCCACAGTAAAACAGAAATGAAAACTGTCTCAGATTCCCTCTAAATAAGAAATAGCCCAACACTAAGCTAGACAATGAAATCAGAAAAAAAAATCAGAAAGAATGTCAGAGCATAGTAAGGACTTCGGTTTTACTCTGAGTGGTAAGATAGGCCAAGGAAAATTTTTGAGTGGAGGAAAGACATGAATTTTTGTTAACACAATCACTCAGACTATTACATTGAGAATAAACTGTGTTACATTCGTAAAAATCAAACAGTTACAAAAGGGAAAGATGATGAGCTTGGACCTGAGGGGTAAAAGAGTAAGTGAGAAGTAGTTGGATTCTGGATATATTTTAAAGGTAGAATCAACACAATGTCTTGATAGATTAAATGTGGGTGGAAGAGAAACAAGAGTTGTCAAGGATGAGTACCATTTTTGCTAACAACTGGAAGGACAGAATCCCACTAACTCAAATGGGGTATGATAGAGGGTTGTAGGACCTATGGAGCTGGAAGACAATAATTGGAAATCCTATTTGACATAGCAGGTTTGCTTACACAATCTTAAAAGTCACTTTCTCCGAGAATGGTGTAATAACACATTTCTAAATGAAAAAAAAAAGTCAGGTATAAAATAAAACATGCAGCATAAATCAAATGCTATATAAAATACCAACCATACATTTGTAAAGTGATTTTTAAGTATAAACAGTTAAGAGTAGTTATTCCTGGATGGTAAAACAAAATATGGGTGATTTCATTTCTTCTGATACTTATAATGAGCATATGCTACTTTTACAATATGAATGAATGTAACAAACACCTCGGATTTATGTAACATCAGAGCATATTCTAATATGTCAACATTCACTCATTTGTTGATCAAGGTTATTTTAATGTGCATCGTTTGTGGGGAATGAGAAATAAGTCGGAGAGGAGTGTTTTGAGGTACTCATAATATTTTATTTTTTGATAAACATTAATTTTGATAATTTTAGATTTACAAAAAGGTTGCAAAGACAGTAGAGTTCCTGTGTAACCTTCACCACACTTCCCCTAATGTTAACATTTTTACATAACCATTTGTACTTTTCTCAAAAGCAAACAATTAACATTAGTACATTACAATGAACTAAACTACAGACATAATTCAGATTTCACCGTGTTTTCCACTAATGTCACCTTTTTTTTTTGGTCCAGGATGAAAGCCAGGACACCATATTTCATTTAGTCACCATTTTCCTTAGCTTCATTCCAAATTGTGACGGTTCCTCATCTTACCTAATTTTTTGTGACCTTGGCAGTTTTTAAGACAACTGTTCAGGTATTGTGAGGTCCCTCCGTTTGGTTTTACCTCCTGTTTTTCTCATGATGAGACTGCAGCTATAGATTTTGGGGAAGAATGCCACAGAAGTGCAGTGCACTTCTCATCACATCATATCAAGGGGTACATGATATCAACAAAATTTCTCGTGGTAATATTAATCTTTGTCATTTGGTTAAGGTTCTTACTGCCAAGATTCTCAAAAGTAAATTTACTTCTGTTTTTCCCTTTTCATATATTACCTTTTGGAAATAAGTCACTTTGTCCAGCCTACTCAATTCCCTTAATTCCCTACTCAAGGGTAGGGAATTAAGATTCACCTTCCAGAGTAGCGAGTTCTAAAGATAGTAATATTTTTATATAATGAGGCATTATCCCTTCTCCACCATTTGTTATTTGATCATGTATTAATACTAATATGAACTCATGGATATTTGTTTTATTTTGGTTTTACAGTATTTTTATTTTTGTATCATAGTATTTTTATTTTTGTATTATTTCAATTTTTGAAATATTCCATTTTGACTTTCCAATAATATTGTAGAGAAGGTGTATTTTAATGAACGTTTTACAGGTGAGTATTTGATTTAATGCTTATAAATGTATACAACTCACAACAGAGACTGGGGTAAGCAGGAACCACAGTGTACTGTCCAACCATGAACCTCAGGGGGAGCCGGAGAAGAAAACACTAAGTAGTGTGGACAGAAGAATACAAAAAATTATAATAAGGTAACATTTCACGCGATAAAGCATTTCTACAGAATTCTAGGCAGTAGCAGCCCAAGACAACACAATTGTTTTGAAGAGAAGAGGTGCATACATTCCATTAAATACAAGCTGAAAAACAGCTATAAGATCATAACCACAAAATAAAGAATTCACTCATTTATGCAATGTGATGTCTCTCTGTGTCTGCACATAGAGAGTCTCTTCCAAAATTGAAGAGTAAACACCACACTTGCTTTGCTTTATGTACTCAAGAAAATATCTATGAAAAAGAACAAAACAAGATTACTCTTTAGTCATGAGAGAAAGGCATAATCAAAACATAAATAACCTTTACTTATGCATGAATAGATGGGCAGATAGATTGTAAATAGATTTATCTCTTTTCCTATTTTTTAAAAAATGACAACTATGTACAGAATACTTTGATAGCCACGTACCAAAAACAAGAACGCACACAGAAAAACTTAGGCTGAGAACCTAAACATGAATAAACTGATCAGTCTGATTAACAAACATGGGTGGGTGGAATTTCAAATGCTCCTCTATTTTTGTGATATAATTCAATAGTAATGGCAACTGATTGAATGAAACTGGATACAAGGAGATGTCGGTGAAATGGTTACTAAATTTAAGTAAACACATTATTTTTTCATTTATCCAGCTAAAATGAGGATAGAAGCAGAGAATACTTCTCATTCCTTCTAAAAGGCTAGAACTGTGCTAATACCCAAACCAGATACAGACAATACAAGAAAACAAAAGACTAAGATCTCTCATGAACATAGATATAGAAATCCTCAACAGAGCAGTAGCAAATCAAATCCAACAACGTATAAAAAGAATTATACACCACAACCAAGTGGGATTTATCACATGTATGTAAGGCTGGTTCAACATGCAAATACCAACTCATGTAGTCCATTACATCAACAAGCTAATAAATAAAAATCAAATGATCATATCAGTACACGCAAAAAAAAAGCATCTGACAAAATCCAATGCCCATTCATCATAAAATCTCTCAGTAAACTAGGTATAGTGGGGAACCTCAACTTACTAAATCATATCTACAAAAAATCCTACAGCTAGTATACTTAATGGCGAGAAAGTCAAAGCTTTTCTATTAAGATAAAAACAAGGTTATGATGCTCCCTCTTTGATACCACTTTTCAACATCATACTAGAAGTACTAGCTAATTCAATAAGATAAAGAAAATGAATTAAAATACACAGATTGGGAAGGAAGAATAAAATAGTCTTTTTCACTGGTGACATGATTGTCTATGTAGAAAATATAGAAGAATTGACAAAAAAACTCCTGGAACAGCCAGGTGTGGTGGCTCATACCTGTAATCCCAGCACGTTGGGAGGCTGAGGCAGGTGGCTCACCTGAGGTCAGGAGTTCAAGACCAGCCTGGCCAACATGGTGAAACCCCGTCTCTACTAAAAATACAAAAATTAACAAGGCTTGGTGGCACACGCCTGTAATCCCAGCTATTCAGGAAGCTGAGGCAGGAGACTCACTTGAACCCGGGAGGCAGAGGTGGCAGTGAGCTGAGATCACGTCATTGCACGCCAGCCTGGGCAACAGAGCAAGACTCCATCTCCAAAAATAACTAACTAAATAAAAAACTCTTAGAACTAATATGGAATTATTGCAAAGTTGCAGGATACAAGGGTAATATACCAAAGTCAATCACCTTCTTACATACCAGCTATGAACAAGTGGAATTTCATATTAAAAACACAATACTGGCCAGGCGCGGTGGCTCAAACCTGTAATCCCAGGACTTTGGGAGGCTGAGGCGGGTGGATCAAGAGGTCGGGTGTTTGAGACCAGCCTGACAAACATGGTGAAACCCCGATTCTACTAAAAATACAAAAAGTAGCCAGGCATGGTGGCGCACACCTGTAATACCAGCTACTCAGGAGGCTGAGCCAGGAGAATTGCTTGAACCCGGGAAGTGGAGGTTGCAGTGAGCCGAGATCGTGCCACTGTACTCCAGCCTGGGCAACAAAGCGAGACTCAAAAAAAAAAAAAAATCCACAGGAAACACACACACACACACACACACACACACACACACAGGAAAAAAAATTACCTTTTGCTTAAGAACAACCCAAAATAAAATCAGGTACAAATCTATAAAAGATATACAAAATCCGTGTGAGGAAAACTACAAAAACAAAATCAAAGAAGTACATACATTGAAAAATACTTTTCATGAATAGGAATAGGAAACAATGTCAAGATGTCAGGTTTTCCCAACTTGATCTATAGCTTCAATGAAATCTAAATCAAAATCCCAGAAACTTATTTTATACATATCAACAAATTGATTCTAAAGCTTATATGGAAAGGCAAAAAACCCAAAATAGTCAACACAATATTGAAGATGAGAGGACTGACACCACCCAGCTTCAGTACTGCCCATAAAGCTACAATCATCAAAAAAATATGGTATTGCCTAAAGAACAGACAGATAAATCAGTGGAACAAAATAGCACAGAAAGACCTACACAGATATAGTCAATGATTTTTGATAAAGGAGGAAAGTCAGTACAATGGAGCAAGGATAGTCTTTTCTACAAATGGTAGAACAACTGGACATCCAGATGCAAAAAAAAGTGACTCTAGACACAAACCTTACACCTTTCACAAAATCAACACAAAAGAGAGATTTAAATGTAAAACACAAAACTATAAGCTCCTATGAGATGACACAGAAGAAAATCTAGATAACTTGGTTATGGTATTTATATTTTAGACAAAACCCCAAAGAGATGATCCATAAAAAATAAATCGATAAGGTAGACTTCACTAAATTAAAAGCAAATTTCAAGAGAATATGAAGACAAGCCAAAGACTGGGCAACAATATTTGCAAAAGACATTTGATAAAAGACTATTACCCAAAATATACAAAGAACATTTAAAAGTGAACAATATGAAAACAAACAACATAATTTAAAAGTGGGTCAGAAACTTTAATAGACACCTCAACAAAGAAAATATACAGATGTCAAATAAGCATACAAGAAAATGCTCCACATCATATATCACCTGGAAATGCATATTAAAACAAGAATGAGATACTTCTACATGCCTGTCAGAATGTCCAAAATCTGCAACACTAACAATACCAAATGCTGGTGAGGATGTGAAGCAGTAAGAACTCTCATTCATTGTTTGTAGAAATGCGAAACGGTACAGCCACTTTGGAAGACAGTTTAGCGGTTTCTTACAAAATTAAATGTATTCTTACCATAGAATACAAAAATTGCGCTTCTTGGCATTTACTCAAAGGTGTCAAAAACTTATACCCACATAAAAACCTGCTCATGGATGTTCATAGCTGTCTTATTCATAATTACCAAACCATGAGAGCAACTGAGATGTCCTTCATTGGGTGAATGGATAAATAAACTGTGATAATCAGACAATGAAATATTATTCAGCTAAAAAGAAATGAGCTATCAGGCCATGAAAAGACATGAAGGAACTTTAAATGCGTATTATTAAGTGAAAGAAGCCAATCCAAAATGGCTACATATTGTATGATTCCAACTATATGATATCTGGAAAAGGAAAACCTACAGAGACAGTAAAAAGATCAGTGGTTGCAAGGGTTGGCTGGGGCGCAGAGATGAATGGATGGAGCACAGAGGTTTGTCATGGCAGTGAAAGTACTCTGCATGATACTATAATGATGGATACTGGCCACTATGCATTTGTCCAAATCCACAGAATATATAACATCAATAGGGAACCCTAATGAAAACGGATTCAGGGATTACAATGTGTCAATACAGGCTCAACAACTATAGGCCAGGCATGGTGGCTCACGCCTGTAATCCCAGCACTTTGCAAGGCCGAGGCGGGCGGATCACGAGGTCAGGAGATCAAGACCATCCTGGCTAACACGGTGAAACCCCGTCTCTACTAAAAATACAAAAATTAGCAGGACGTGGTAGCAGGCACCTGTAGTCCCAGCTACTTGGGAGGCTGAGGCAGGAGAATGGCATGAACCCGGGAGGCGGAGCTTGCAGTGAGCCAAGATCATGCCACTGCACTCCAGCCTGGGCGACAGAGCAAAACTCCGTCTCAAAAAAAAAAAACAAAAAAAAAAACTGTAACAAAGGTACCACTCTGATGTGGAAGAACATGCATATTTAACAGCAGAGGGGTATGGGAAAACCTCTTACCTGTCTCTTTATTTTGGTATTAACCTAAAACTGCTGTAAAAAATAAAGTCTTTAATAAAAATAATTAAATTAACAACAACAACACAAAAAAACCAGTGTGGCTATCTTAAAAAAAAAAAAGAGTTAAAACTAAGTATATAGACACTTAGATAACTTTTCCCAGAAATTAAAAATAAATCCTATTGCCAAGGATACTTTTGAGAATCATGGCTATATAAAAGATTTAAATATTACACAATATGCATACATACTATTTTCATCAAATGTCATAAATATGCATATATATATACATTATATATATAAAATTAGATAGCTAGTTAGGAAATGCAATTGCCAAGTATATTATTTCAGGATAGATAAATGCAAAGACACTACAGTTTCACTATCAGAATATCCCATGGTAATGGCAAAATATGTTGCTAGGAAACCCAGTAAGAAGAAGAAAAAAAGAAAGTTTCAAGCATGGAAAGATCTGATGTAAATCTCTAAGCAGAACTAATTCATTTTTAGTCTTCATGCTCTGACCTTTGCAAGACTTGCATTGTTCCATAAAGTAACCTTAAATATGCAACTTACAAAAGCCGATAGCTACAGATTTACCAGAGCTGGTCTGATTTCCTAAATTAATATCTCTACAAACCTGCAGAGATAACAGCAGTTCATTCCCCAGATGACAGAACCACCTGATATACAAAATCATTCATTCGTCAGTCACTGATTGATTCATTCATTCAAAACAAATTAACACCAATCCCTTGCCAGGTACTGTGATACACACGCTGGACAGACAAAATTGAGCAAAACACAATCCCTGCTTACTGAATATACAAAATCCAGTGGCAGACACAGTTATTTATTCAATATTCACAAAAGAAATGTGAGAATTTATTTATCATAAATGCTACAAAAGAGAAATACAAGTTGTTTCTAAATTTTTCAGTGGGTGAAGTTGACCTGACTAGGGGGGTCAGCAAAAACTTTCCTGAGAAAGTGAAACTTATTTTACTTTGATATCAAGGATATGTAAGTGTAAACTACGTGAGAACAAGAGAAAATAATTTTGCAGATGAGGCCATATGGCAGAGGGTAGCACGGAGAATACCAGAAGACAGTGAGGCTCAAACAGGGGGAAATTTATTAGCAAAGGGGAGTGAGACAGGGAAGGGGTTAGGCCAGGCATGTCCTTGTAAATTATGTTAAGGAGTTTTGCCTTTACGCCTAGAGCAACAGGAAGGCTTTGAAGTGTTAACAGCAGGGAAATAATGCGATTAGATCTGCATTTAAAATGCATTTTAAATGCTCACTTTGGCTGCTGTGTAAAGAAGACAAGAGGGGAGCCAGAGGACATGTGGAAGTGAAGTTAGGCTATTTAGTGGTCTAAGCAAGGAGGATGGCAGTGTTACTGTCACTAAGAAGAGATGAACCCAGCCAATAAATTTTTAGGATGCAAACTACACAAGACCAAATAATGACAGCACACGGGGCGAGAGAAAAGTCAGGAATGATTCCTTGGCTTTTGAGTCCCATTTCCCTAACATTTAAGGTTGTTTCATTTCCAAGATTTTAGTCATTAATTAAAGAAGCCAGGCAAATTATAGACTTCTTTGATATAAGGGTTAAGGGTAAGAGGATGTCAACAACAATATACATGTCCCCAGCTTATGCAGAAGTGTAGCATCATCCAAAACAAAGAACACTGAAAGAAGGCCAGGGTTTACTGGTCTGTTTGTCTGCATGATTAGTTAGTTACTTTGCTTATTTTGGGAAACTGGCTGACTTTTCGTTACGTTGAATGTGTCACAGATGACTAGTTATCAGCCAAGGATTAGTGCTTGACTTTTCACAGTGAAGAGTCATTATGAGAAATTAGCTGTTCTACCAATAACTATACTTCCCAAACCTCCCCACCCCTCTGCATTTAGCTGGGACTCTGTGGTTGGTCCTCACTAATGGAGTATGGACAAGAGTACTATGTAGCATTTCTGGGCCAGGAAGCATAAGCAGTCTACAAGCAAAAGTCCACAAGCCTTAAGACAAAGTAAAGTTGAGAATTAACTTCCCTGACTCATCATGTAGGAAGCTGCTTGCTGACTAGAAACCCTGAATCAGGATGTCACATGAGCAAGAAATCAAGTTTTATCATGTTATACCAATGGAATTTGGGGCTATGTCCGATACAACAGCTAGGAATATCCTAACAAACACACAGAGTTTGATAAGCCTTTGAGACACCCACAGGATGCTGTCAGATAGACAATTAGATAATTAGACCTAGAGCTCAAGGGAGAACTCTGGGTGGAAAATTTTAATTTGAGAATCATCTGAGTAACGGTGATAATAAAAAAATGTTAGTATGGACAAGATTGCTTAAGGAGAAAGTAGAGTTAGAATAAGAAAGAATCTTAGCTCAAGAGCAGATAGGGATTTCACACATGCAAGTACAGAAGTATAGTTATTTTCCTTTTAAAGTTGTAAAGGTGTAATAGATAAACAGGTACCAGTCTCTATTGGAATCATTATCTATTCAATGACAGTTAAGCAGTTTTCATATATTCCTGTTTTTACTCCATGAATATTTATTGAGCACCTACAGAATGCCAGGCATAGTTTGGAGGACATGAATGCATAAATATCTCTCAAGTTCTAAGAAAGATCTCTCTGATAGCTTGTAACAGGGAACCTGATCTGGCCTGAAGGTCAGGGAGAGCTTCCCAGAAGACCTTTAAGCTGAAACCTGAAAGTTTAGTAGAAGCAAGGCCAGCTGGGGTAAGGGGGGGTAAGAAAATCCCTGGTTGAGGGTACAGCATGAAGCTCCTGAGATGAGAGAGGGTACAGCATGAACCTCTGAGATGAGAAGAAGTTTGAGATATTTTAGGAAGTGGAAGAATGACAAGTCTTAAGGGGGAGAGGGAGGCACAAAAGTTAAGTGGAGATCAGATCATATAGGCTGTATATGAAGGATTTTGGCCTCTATCTTCAATAACAAGACATAATTAGTTTTAAGCAGGGGAATGACATAGAATAACATCAGAACTGTATTTCAGGTTTGTGATATTAAATAGGCTTTTAGGAGTTGCTTAATAATCCAGCCAACATAACATTATTTTCAAGGGAAACCTTCCAGAATGCCAAACACTGCCTTATGAGCTATTGGTAACTTAACTTTTATTTATTTGAGTATCACACTTCACATATAAATTATTCACACAAATACTCTTTAGTCAGTTAACACAGTGTTGCTGGAGATCTTACAGCAGTCCTCGAGGTTAACCAGTAATTCCAAAAATGTGCATTCATTTAATAAATGTTGACTGGACCAGGTAATACAGAGGCAAATAAGACATGTGCTTGCCCTCAAGAAGCTTACTGCTTAGAGGCAGGGAGAGAAAAATCATGATAAGCCTAAGGACTATGTGAGTGCAGAGGAAGGATGGAGGCCTCAGGGAAGTCTTCACAGGGGAAATGGCATTTGAGCAGGACCACAAAGGTTAAACAAAATTTAACAGGCAGTGCATGACAGAAGGCTATTCCAAAGAAAAGGAAAACCAAAGGCAAATGGGAAGTAAAATTTCATGACAAACACAAAGTAATACACATTGAATAGGTATGCTGATTCTACAAAAGTCTTTTAAGTCAGACAAAGGAACTTGCATATATATATATGACATATATATATATAGAGAGAGAGAGAGAGAGAGGAACTGCTATCCTGTGATGTTTTGAAATCCTAATTCTACTCTGTAATTTTTTTTTTAACAGAGCCAATGCTATTTATGTTTCCTCTTCTCTTCCTTTATCCCTACCTTTGTCTCTAGATCTAACTTACACCTTTTCAAAATTTGAAACAACTTGGAAAACATTTTTAAATATTTCTGAGTTTTACTATGTTAATCATAGCACCATTTCATAAAAAGTGTTCAAATTCAAATGATATCTGTGTTAAAATACACAGTTAATATTTTCACATACTCAATATTTCTTTTACATCACATTTCTTGAAGAGATTTGATGTGCGAAGTAATAATACATATATATCCAAATTACTGGCTAAATTGATACTTCTTACTGGCTGATGCTGAATTTAATAAAAACAAAATCTATCAAGTATTTGAACTTTATTGTTTTCAATTTTTTCATGTGGTACATGTATAAGAAATAGTCCAGAAGAAGCCTAAATTAAGCAAATAAATAAAAGCTGCAAAGTTATTCCAGAGTTGTTCTGGGGGCAAAGTAGCAGGGTTCCTGTATATCAAGACATCAGGACAGGAAATTCATTGGTTCAATTTGCCTGATCTCTTGCCATGATCATTAATACACTTCAACACCATACTTCTAACTACTTCTGTTCAGAACAATGTTTTTGTCAATGACAGCAAGAACAACAAAAAGTTGATTAAAAAATAGAAAAGGACTTGAATAGACATTTCTCCATAAAAGATAGATTAATGGCCAATAACCACATGAAAAGATATTCAACATCGCTAAACATTAGGGAAATGGAAATCAGAACCACAATGAGATTCCACTTCACATACTTTAGGATGACTATTATCAAAAAAAACAGAAAATAAGTGTCAGCCAGGATGCAGAGGAACTGAAACCCTTATGCACTGCTGGTGGGAATGTAAAAAGGTGCAGCCACTATGGGAAACAGCATGGCAGTTCTTCAAAAAATTACAAATAGAAATGCCATATGATCTAGCAATTCCACTTCTGGATATACACCCAAAAGAACTAAAAGCAGGAACTTGAACAGATACTTGTACACCTATATTCATAGCAGTATTATTTACAATTTTCAAAGGATAGAAGCAACCCAAGAGTTCACTGATGGATGAATGGATAAACAAAATGGAGTATTATTCAGTCTTAAAAAGAAATGGAACTCTGAAGAAGGCTACAAAATGGATGAACCTTGAAGATATTACATTAAGGGAAATAAGTCAGGCTCAAAAGGATAGATGATATATGATTCTACTTATATGAGATATTTAGAACAGTAAAATTCACAGAGACAGAAGCAGAAGGGTAGTGCCAGGTACTCAGGGAAGGGGAGAATGGTGAGTTACTGTTCAATGGGAAAGGGTTTCCGTTTGGGAAAATAAAAAGTTCTGGAGATGGATGGTGGTGATGGTTGCACCACAATATGAATGTACTTAATGACACTGAATTGTACATTTAAAAATGGTTAAAATAGTAAATTTTGTTATGTATGATTTACAACAATTTAAAAAAGCTGAATCTCCAGATCTTGTCTTAATAAAGTAAAACATAAAAAATAGAACTAAAAAACCCATGGCGTTTTGGAAACTGTTCAACTAGTTATATTTTTATATTTCAGATTTCTTTTGGCCATTCTGAAGGCAAAAATCTGACAAATCTCTCTTTTCCCAGAGTTTATGTCATGCATCTGTTAATGGTGGGGCTGATGGAGTGGCCTTGCTGGGACTTCTGTCAGCAGTGTTCTCATTCTTTTCCGGCCGAAGAATACCATAGAATGGGATCACCCCACTAAATCCATGAATTTCAGTGGATACTAAATGTTATCCTAAGACACTAAAAGTAGTTATCTATTTTTAAATGCAGAAATTAATGTAATACAAAACAGTAACTATCAGCAAACCACAGCAGTTCTTAATCACTTTTAATCTAAGTATTCCAGAAAAGTGCTTCGACTGATTTGAGTTACCATTTTAATGATACTTATTCCATCTCTTGAAATGAGATGGGCTACTGTTTGAAAACACGTATCATACCAAATGCTGCATGAGGGTTTTTATCATTGTTTTTAAAGCAAAGGAAATCTCTAAACACACACAGTGGGGGATTTTAATAGATGACAAAATGAGGTGTTTTGACATGTCCACAGTTACTGAATTGCACAGCTGAGTCAGTTTCAGTGATTCTCAAAACAAAGCTCAGTCTGAAAATTTGCTTTGGGGTAGCTGAATATGCCCATTTCAAGCCATCCTGAATACTCTAATGATCCTTTTAATGGCGTCTGAGAAAAAGTAAATTATCCATTTGCTGGCATACAGTAGTTGGCAAATGTGGGGCTGGGTGAGGTAGCATCCTTTCAGGATTAGGATATTATACTGGTACATATCTTTGTGTTCCAAATAGGTATCAATGTGTTAGGATACTCTGAAAACAGATTTTTCAATAAAACTTATCAATTAACTAGTATCAACAACTTAAGCTAGAAACACCTTTTGAATACAAATGCTACTTCCCAGATAATAGAAGCATATTTCTTTAGGAATTATTTTTTGTTTACCCTTAATGACTGTGCTGTGGTCTGAAAGTCTGTGTCCCCACAAAATCCACGTGTTGAAATCCTAACCCTAAGGTGATGGTATTAAGATCTGGGGCCTGTGTGAGGTGATGAGGTCATGACGGCAGGGCACTCATGAATGGGATTAGTGTCATTTTAAAAAAGACTCAGGGGAGCTTGTTGGCCTCTTCCACCACATGAAGGCACAGCTAGAAAGTGCCCACATTTATGAACTAGAAATCAGGCTTTCACCAGACACCCGGTGAGATCTTGAACTTCCCAGCCTCTAGAACTGTGAGAAATAAATTTCTGTGGTTGATATGCCATTTGTCACAGCAGCCCAAATGGGTTAAGACAGATTGGAAGCCTTTCAAAAAGCACATCATGTACTTCCTTGCTTTTTTCTGAAGCAGAGCACATTGAACCCAACCTTTCCATCAGGTAGAAAAGCAAAAAGGTTGCCTGGTGTCCTCCCTCCAAACAGGGAGCCCTGATCCTAAACCTAAAACTCTTCCCTTGCTGACTGGATAATGGGATAGTAATTGTTTTTTCTTTTTCTTTTTTTTTTTTAATTTTAAGTTCTGGGATACATGTGTAGAACATGTAGGTTTGTTACATAGGTATACATGTGCCATGGTGGTTTGCTGCACCTATCAACCCATCATCTAGGTTTTAAGCCCTGCATGCATTAGGTATTTGTCCTAATGCTCTATGGGATAGTAATTTTTAAACTGTAAACTACTCCAACTTTCTATAATAAGGCCCTCAAAGGCAAGTGAGGTGCATAGGAGCTGATGGTACCCTCCCAAAATGTCCTCAAACTGCTACTCTTTTGAATTGTAGCTAGACGGGTTTTTGCACCTTTAGTTTTTACTAGGTAATGTAATTTTTATTGCCACCAGTGTAGCTCCCAGAAAGATCTTTCTTCACCTTGTCCTCTCAAATGGCTTGCTGCCCTTTACAATACAGATAATCATGTTCATGTATAATAGTTCAGTCTAGGAATAAGGCAGTTTCAGTGAAAGCCTGTGGGTGGTGATTATTGGTAGGGTGCATAAGTGTTAGTGCATGGACTTTGTGAGATCCGTCTGTCTGGAACCTCAGGGGCCTCTTCCACTTACTTTCAGGATCCTGACTATGTGTTGTATTTCTATATATAATAAGATTGTCAAAAAGGTCAAAAGTGCTTCCTAAATGAAAAATAAGTACTTTCAGTTACATGCAGATAAATTCTATTAGTTACAGACAAAGTATCAAAGGTCATGCAGTTAATGGCAAATCTAAAGCTAAACCCCAAGGATCTTACTTCCCAGCTCAGTATTTTTTAATTTCTTAAAGAATATGCTATGTGTTTTCCATCTATTCCTAACTACTTATTTCTTCTTAAGTCCTTCACATTGATTTTTCCAATGCTAATGAAACTACCCTATCAAAAACTCCCTGAATTTCAAATCCAAATGCTTTCCCAGTCTTCCTCCTCTTCCTTGAATTTCTCTTCAGTGTTTCACCCTTCTGGTTTGCTCCTTCCTCTTCTTGAGTCTCTTGATGATGCACTACCTGATCCTTCTCCAACTACTCAAATTACTTCTTTTCTCTTCAATAATTCTTCTTCTCTTCAAATCCCCTGAGTGGCATTTCTGAATACACAGTCCCAGCCCTCTTCTTGCTTCCCACTTGTTGATAAGGCCCAAGACTGAGTTGATAAGCTTGACCTCTACACACATTCTACAACTGTCTAGGTACATTTCCATCACCTTTGCTACGGTCACATCAAGTACAAAAGAATTCAAAACAAGTTCCTATCACTCTCACTTAACTGGTTTCCCTCTCCCAACTCAATTACCTCCCAACAGTAATGTCACTTCCTTACTCCTCCCTCTCTGAGAACTGACCTAGCACCCTCTCAACCACTCTGTCAAACTATCCCATCTGTCAACACATCTCAACAATTACTTCTCTAAAGATCCTCAGGTATCTGATTTGTATCCATTATTTTCACTCTTACCACAATGATAGAAGCCAGCACTAAGTTTCCAATTCTTTGTCTCCAAATTAGAGATACTGTTGTATCCAGGACGTACTGTTATGTCAAAAGTGTTTTGTAAAGAAAATACAGGTTTCGGTTTTATTAATCATTATATTTGTTGTAGCTATTATCCTAGCCTCTCATTAACTTAAAACCTGATATTTCCGAATACTACAGCTTAGTAGGTGGTCTTCCTCACCCCAGCCTCCTCCATTTGAATTGGTCCTCTGTTTTCTACTTACTTTTCCTTAAATGCTGCTTTGAACATATAATAAGGAATTTATCCTGGCTGTACGTTACTTATCACATAAAATTTAAACTCTTTTGCTAGATTTCAAAACTCTTCATAATGTCAAAAAATATCATTTATAGAGTGCTAAGTTCTAAGTGACCATTCTGAGCATTTTAAATGCATTAACTACTCAAATTCTTCCAACAGCTCTCTGAAGTAAATACATTACAGATTAAGAAATTGAGGCATAGAGAAATAATTTGTGCAAAGTTACAGGAATTTTGGAGACAGGATTTGAGAATCAGATTCCAGCAGCTAAGCTCTCATAAACATTATACTCTAAAAAACCATAATCTTACCCAACTCTATCCTTTCACAACCCCCACTACACCTCCAAAAATACTTCAATCTGAATGGGAGGATCATGTCTCTCATAAACCCAGTCTCATGTCTCCCTTCTAAACTCTGATTTAAACCATGTAAATGTTACCCATTTTTTAATACTCAACTAGACCGACCACATCAGTGAACCTCCCTAAGATAGTCTAAGCATTCTAATATTGCTAACCACATGGAAAACTCCTTATTGTTTCTTATTTCCTTGTATTCCACAATACCAGGCTCTGTAAATGTCCCACTGTGTGTATCCAATAAATATTTATTAACCAACTGGCTTATCAACTCCAGAATGTATAATTCTAATAGCAAAACTTAAAGACGAATAGCAAATAAAGAACTAGGCCTTCAGAAATGTCCAATGTTAGGAAATGCAAAGAGAAGAGTACACAAACAAGGCATAAAAAATTAGTTGTCAGAACACTAGGAGTTTTTTTTTTAACAGTCATCCGAGTGCAAAGAATTCTGGCATTTGTGTAAATCACTTACCTGGATATAGTACATTATCTCATTAAACGTGACAACAAAGTTCAAATTAATACTTCCTAAAATTAATACTTCCTAAGCAATAGTTCTTTAGTTCTTAATTCCACATAAGGTTTGAAAGAGTTAATTTATGTTAAGTGATTATTTAATCTGAATCATATTTTCTCACTCTAAAGGGAAAAGTCATCAATATAAAAATGGATGCTGAAAAGAAAAAGTGTTCAAATTCAATTAACTGTGTGTGCATAATAATTGACTTCTGATTTTTCTGATTTTCAGATAATCCATCCCCTGCTACTCTTACTAGCTTTAAGAAAAATATTTGACATCTTCTTAGATTCTAAAATCACTTTATTCATACTCATATTCAAGGGTCATGGAGACCTTAAAAGCCAACAGTATTTTTGAACTTCACGGCTCCCTCATCCTCCCACAGCCACACTCCTTGCTCCAGCCCTCGGGCCCCCCGCTTGTCCCTCTACACACCCACAGTGGTTTCAAACTATAGGCCTCCCTCACAGTATAAAGAAAAATACTACCTTTTGTTACAGAACAGAATTCTTCCATTTACAAAGACTGCTAATACTGAGTGCTGGGTTTATGAGGTAACGTTACAGGGTCTATATCTAGATATACTCTGCAGCTGCACGGCTTTGTGATTTCCAACTCTCTGAGTATAATGCAAAGTCAAATGCCAAATCAAAAAATAAATTTTAGAGCCAGCATGATCAAATCAAGGGACAATGATTCCCTTTGCACTGTCCATTTGAGCAGCATCTTACATCAACATTAGTACTATCAGCACCTGGCCTGACACCAGCTGTTCTCATTCTCCAAACTAAAAATAAGATGCCTGATCTAAAATAGTGAGAGACAATATGAAGGAGCCATTTTCATTAAAGGGTTATTTCAATTTCTCAACAACAAGAAAAATGATGTAAATATCCAGTGGCTACGTCTCACTTCTACAGAATTCCCCTTTCAGGTCAGCGTTTTTTATACTCTTCCAAACTGTCAATTTGTATAATGATCTAGTGACATGTGATTGGCTGGCATGTAATGTTACTCATTAAAACACAATAGCAACAGCCCAAATGAATCCTGATCAATGTCCTCGGTGTAAACCATCAGCTGCTTTGTTTCTGAGGCCAATTCATTGTGAAACAGCTAAAGTGTTTTCCCCGCTATGGTTTGTGATATATTCATTCTAATTGTTTCTTGAATGAGGCCTAAAACTGCAATTTTAACTTGACATGTCTTATTTGCAAGTCTCTTACAGACGAATGGATAAGAGTAATATTTTAAGTTTCAAGTTTTAAGTTAGGTAGCATTTTCCTATAGGCTTTAAACAAAATCAAAAGCATTGAGGGGTACGGCTAAATAGCAAAATGTTGGCAACAATATCCCAATTAATTTCAAGCAAGTATCAAATTTTAACAAATTCAATTCAGTTACAAGATACATAAATAAATATACTTCTGGTAAACCTGTGATCTCCACTCATGATGTACAGAATGGCTGGCAAGGAGAGATTCTGGTCTGGCACAACCACCTAGATCCTGGCTTGACTTATTCATCTGTAAAGCATCTGGATGGTCAGCATGGAAAGGCAGAGGGAGCATACTGGTTCCACCACACCCTCCTCTGTTGCTGCCACATTAATGGGAAGTGCATCTACAAACATGTGTCTACAGAACTGATCAAGGCCACTTATAATACAGGCATCTTATTTAAAAATCTCCAACAAAAATTAAAAGTTATCTTCTGTCCTTTTAATTTCATCATAAAGAAATAATTTATTTTCTTCTCTGTCCCAGTAGTGTATTTTCTACTGCCTATATATAAACACTAAGAGTTCATTTAGCTATGTAAGCAGGAGAATCAGAAACTCTGAGTAACTAGTGAACTGCCATATATACACTAATCAATGTATCCTTTGCATTGGCCACACCCTTTTTGTCCTTCTTTTAATACTTTCTGCTTAGTCCAGTGGGTGGCACATAGCAGATGTTGATTGGATTGTTTTGAAAGATTTTTATTTTGAATGCAGTACTGCTCTAGCCTGGTATTATTACAAGGACGCTGATGATAACTAAATTCGAGGCTATTAAGGACTTAAATGTGACATCTCAGTTCCAGGACCTTATCTTTAGAAAATACAGAGAATTTTATCTACCTTTTTTAAAGTGTCAGGTTACCATCTAAAATATACCAACATTATCAAACTGCTCTTTTCGTTCCTCTATTTTAAGAAAGTACTATTGGAGCTGAAAAAAATCAAGCATAACTTGTGAAGCAATGAACAAACTCTTTCTCATAAATCTGTAGTGCTGGTCATGCTTTCCAGCTTTGCATTCTAGTCCAAGAGTTAATTTGGGGACTGGCACAGATTTCTACTTTTAAAAGCTACTCACTGGTGTCCCTTTAACATCTCTTTACTGGAAGTGCATCCTAAATAATTACCCTGCTGGTATGGGGCATCTCCAAGGGCATGTCCAGAACCAGCTTTCCGTTGCGTTGCTTTAATTGGGAGCTGTTCTTCTTCCTTCCACTTTTCTTTAAATTAGCAAGTAAGACTCGGAATCCTCCAGACTCAGTTCAGACTGTATTTTCTAATTAGACGATTGGAAAACTTTAATTAATAAGATGACCCCAGCAGAAAAATCAGGTCATATTGTTAAGCACTTATAACTTACAAATTTTAGCAAGCACTGACTTTTGCAAGTCAGCCAACTTTGTTAGTTCTCAACAATCCTTTAATTAGGCTAGACAGAAAGTAGCATGCACTAATGTGTGTCCTGGCTAATTTCCAATGGGGGATAATTGCAATCGGGCCCACCTAAACTTCCATTGGCTTCAAGTGAATACAGTAGTCTTTCTCCAATCTCTGTCTGTATTTCATTCTGCATTGATACTATTCCCGAGGCATACAGATGGAAGACTCCTGCTTTTCACCCTGAGCACTGCAGATTATCTATTAACGAGACCTGTTGAAAACCTACCACATCCAGAAGAACAATATACTAAGAAATAAAGAATGTATTCTGAGTTAACCCACTTTCCTCTTCTCACATATAGCCAGAACACCTGACGAAGTTAACACCTATGAACGGTATCATTTTCATTCCCCCTTTGCTCACATCCTACACATCCTACACCCACTTAACACACACACAGACAAACACACACCTTTCCACTCACCTGCACTTTCAGTGGACCCAAGTACATCCTTGCAGAATTGCAAATAAGATAAGCCTCATCTACATCTAGTTCTAAGTTTATAACGTTTTGTTTGTTTGTTTTGCCTCTATTACTGCTATTTTGTCTGGTTCTTTCTTACAGAAAAACACATGAGGTGATATATGAATTTCCTCTACACAAAAATGAAGCCGGAAATGCCTGGTTCTTCCAGAGAAAGGCAATTTAAGATGCAAGATTTAATCATAAAACCATCAAGTTAAAAGGACCTTCAAGAAGTCTTGTAATTTACTCCCCTTTCTCCAGGCATGCAAATTAGAGTCCACCAAAAAGTGTTACCGAAGGAAATCAAATTGGATCAAGCAAAATTATACAGCAGGATAATTTAAAAAGATAAATCTCTGCTGTTTTATTATGCTTCTTTGGCAATAACTGGGCCTTCTGGTGAATTAGGATATCAAATATTAAAATTCTTGCAGAACCTTCTTGGGTTTGGGATCACCTAAAAAATGTTAATAGCTTAATATTATTTCAAACAGAAGTTCCTGGTTATGATTCCTCTGTGTGTGTGTGTGTGTGTGTGTGTGTGTGTGTGTGTGTGTGTGTGTTTCCACAAGAAGTCTGAAAATTTGTTAGAGTCTAAAAAATAATTTTTAAATTTACAATCACATTGTTCTTAACTCTTATCCACATATTTTATTGAATTAAAAACTCATACTTGGACCTAAAACTTCTACATTCAGAAATACGTGTTTGTCCTGCATGTCAACAATAATTATATGTCTGAAAATTAATATGCATTCCTATCTTAAATCTTTTTAAGACATTTCATGAAGAAACATATACTATATGCATATTTTAACAGAATATTGCATCTGGGAGAAGACAAATTAAAAGTGTCAAATATTCATCAGCGGTTTTTACTGGCACTAAAAGAAAGGTGACATTCACTGAGTCTTAGATAAAATCCACCTGGCTCAAACTAAACTGAGTAAAACAGCCAAGAATACTGAAGGCTTGGTTGAGTACATAATTGACCATAAAAAGTAGCTTTCAAATAAATCTAGATTCAACATTGCCTCTCCAGTCAATACTCCCACAAATGCTTATTCAGCACCCCCCTTTCCTAATGTATGTCTCAACCTACCTTCCAATCTTCTTTTACTTTCATCCTGTTTTTTCCCCATGCCTTCATACCCACTATTCATGTGCCTGCTCTCCTCATTTACCACTGGCTTAGAAACATACCAAAATAATCTAAGGAGTTTTCAAAATGGCTACATGGCTGGGTTGCCTCCCTGAAGATTCCGTTTTCATAGGTCAAAGGGATGGAGGAAGGGGCGCTGGTGTTGACATCTTTGAAAATTCCAGATGATTCTGACACGGGCCTCGGGATAAAGAGCATGACTCTCACAGGTCTGCAACCGTCAGGCTCCAGTCTGGTCTTTCCCTTCACAATCTCCTCAGCTGCCCTCTGGACAATTCAAACTCTTTCTGAAGAAAGTGTCCTGTTATTTCTAAGTGCTCTTTCCAGCTCTTTACATTAGCTCAGAGGATCTCGACAAAGGGACTATTTTGCAATCTGACAAAATCTAGAGACACTTTGGTTGTCAAAACGGGGTGTATGCTACTCCAACTAGTGTATAAAGGCCAGGGATGTTGCTAAACATCCTATAATACACAATGCAGCTCCTCATAACAAATAATTATCATTATCATTCCAAAATGGCAATGTTGTGAACATTGAGAAAAATGCTTTGCCTGAAGCCTACTTTACTCTTTCCATAATCACTCCATTCACATATTCATTAAACAAACATTTCTATTCCTCCAAAATCATCCCCCACCATCCAGTTGTCTCCAGACTTTCCCTAAACATCATTCTGTTCCAGCTCCTTTCATCTGCTTACACCAAACTCTCCCCAAACTCTCACCAGTATATACAACCCCCAGAACAATCTTTTTCTCTCCTCACTGTGTTCCTCTTAGGTCTCTTATTTCCAAGCATCTTTAATAAAACCAAAATGTACAATGATGATTCTTCTAACAGCTGAGCTTCATTGCCTCCTATCCTTCTCAATAACTAGACACTCTACCAATTAGGTGGCCAATCAAGGGCCTTGCGTCATCCATGAAGTGTTCCTCTTCAAGATCTAGACTTCTGTTCTTGTCTCTTACCACCACCACCTTACCTCTCACCTCTTCTAGTGTCTCACTTCTGCTGTACCCACCTCCTTATTCTCAAATGTTTGCCTGGCATTTCAATCATCTAACTACCCCTTCCCATTCTGACAGCATGGTTTCCCACCCACACCTACCTGTGCTCAGACATTTTATTCTCACTGTCATCTTAGAGCTCTCATAAGCCCTCACAAGCCCTGCAACTTCCATTTTCTGCTTTTTCATTCCAATTCTTAGAAAGTTGGGTGCTGACGGAGAAATAATTGGTTCTCTTACAAATGCTTGCCACCTAATTTCACCGGGGACTTTGAAGCAGTTTAGCAATCTTTTAATTTATTACTACTTTGCCCTCACATTCCCCACAGGGCTTGCTCCAAACCCCAAGCCTTCACTCTCACATTGTGTTGTTTCTTATTCTACTGTAGGGCACTGGGACATACGCCTTGATGATTAACATCTACAGAGACCTATAGACCTATATCCTATTCTATAAGGTCCCAAACTCCTTCCAAGGAGCTCAAGTTCAACCATGAACCAGACTAAACCAGACTCCTATCCCTTCCATTCCCTAAGTCACCTCACAATTCTTCCCTACTTGCCATTCATCTGGACCCTTCATTGTCCCACATATATTCTCTTTCATTCTCACCTTTCTACTACCATCATTTCTTCCACCTGGGATACTCTTTTTTGCAATCTCTAGCTATAGAAATCCTCCCTATCGTATACTAGTACCACATATATTGTTTGATCAACCTATGAGGAGATAAATAATCCTTCCCATAAATTTCCTTTGTATTTTATTCTTAATTATCTTAAGTTCTTATCATGCTGCCCTATATTAACGGTATATCTACCATGCCACATTTAATCTGCTTGACAGAGGTCAGTTTGGTTCTATTCCCCAACTCTACTCCTGGGTTCTCAAATTTTGCATTATACACACACACATTCTTGCACACTATATACACATACGTGTGTGTGTATACATATATCTTTACAATATATAATTGTATATATCAAGTATGTATATAATCTCTTAAATGTTTCCTGAGCTCAAAATAACTGAATCAAAATTGTTGATAAGCAGAAGCTCTTCATGAAATGGCAGACAAAAAAAATTAAGAATTTATACTAGGGGTTTTCATCTAAGTTTCATAGATTGAGCTCACAAGTTTTTGAAGCCCATTTTCCTGGTAAGAGAGTTAGTAGCTTTTTTCAGATTTGCAAGATTCCATGCCAAACAAGCTAAAAACAAACAAAAAACATTCAAAACTACTGCTCTAGAGATATGAAAAATAAAGACAATATTAACTTCATTATTTACGTTCTGATTTAACAAAACTCTTGGAAGTAATGTTGCATCAAGTGCATCAAATGCTAGATAATATGAATTAAACTTATATGAATTAACACTTTAAAATGGGGCAAAATGACCCAGACATCCACATTTATGTCTCACCAAAATTGATCTTATTTACAGTAAGTATAAATGTGATTTTATAGTACACAATGAATGAAAGACAGTAAAGCATGTTTAGCTTCTAGCATAAGTAAGTAAGTAATATGGCTTAATAAATAAATAAATGATAAAGAACAGGTTGCAATTTAAACTAATCTTGAATTATTAAAACCACTAGATACTAGATTTACGATAGAAACACGGCTTGACGTTCTTTTCAGTTACATCATATCCTAATTGCCAAAGGGTAGAAACACACAATTTATTCAGCACATGTTCATTATGCTATTCGTATGTGGACATTTCATAAATCCTACTTGATGAAGCTGATTTAGTAATTACTTAATTTCCTCCCACTATTCATTCATTACTTCATTCACTTTTAAATGATCATGACTGCAACACAGCACTGCAGGCTAAGAACCATTCCAGGCAAATGTTTTCCAGGGTCTTCGGCTCCCAACATCCAGGGCAGGGCCTGCACGTCTGGCTCTTCATCCATTGCATGTAAATTTTTATTCACATTATGAAATATTAAATTAAAAGATGGGCCTACCAGTAGGAAATATGCAATGACCCTAGTTTGTGTGTAAAGTTTGCATCAAATCACTATGTAAACTTCAAAAAAAAATTCATTGGGGTTTATTTCTCTCAATGTAAGGGAAAAAATATGACATGAGTTTAAGGTACTTAACAGAGTGTGAGTAAAGCTAGGCACAGTAACAGAGTGATCATTAACACCTCTTTCTTACGAAAAGAAAGTGAAAACCACAGGTCTACCTTTAGGATTATAATAAAAGAGGAATATAATTAAATGTCACCACATATTTTTGTTGCAAGATTTATATTTACTAAATGTAAACTGAACTTACCCTATTTGCCTGATTTTTAAGGCAGCTTTTCTGAATAAAAATAAATCTATTCCAGGGCAGTCTATAAAATGGTAAACTAAAAATGCATTGCCCCGTATCTCTAAGAGCCTGTGAAACTTCCCAAGAACGCTTTTGATAAAACCAGAAATATGTTCTTAAGAAAATTAATCTATGAATTCATTCGTTAATTTGATTTATTGTGGATTCCAATTCACAATGAATGTTAAAACATTGTTTTAAGTAGAATAGTACTTAATTGCTTTTGAACATTCAGGAGTTCCACCCATCCCTCCACCCCCTGCCTTGTAGGAAAATGAAAGAAGCCTTTAATTCCAGGTGCATAGAAAAGGCAAACTCATAAATACTACTGAACAGCTGTAATTTACTATCTTTTGGGTGAATAAAATGGAACCACATTTTATAAAACATGGTCAAAAATGAAACTCCATTAATTCCTGTTGATAAGGGTAAGAAACACATAATCCTATACATTGCTCCAATATTTGAGAAAATCTCAGGCTATAGGTTCACTAATCACTAAAGTTGTGAGCAAGTTTTATTTAAACAGAAAAAAAGACGAAAAAAAAAAAAAGGTCCAGAGCTCTTTATATACCACCTATGTATCATCAAATCTACATTTTGAGATGGGATTTCGCTCTGTTGCCCAGGCTGGAGTGGCATGATCTTGGCTCACTGCAACCTCTGCCTCCCAGGTTCAAGCAATTCCCATGCCTCAGCCTCCAGAGTAGCTGAGACTACAGGCACGCAACACCATGCCCCGCTAATTTTTGTATTTTTAGTAGAGATGACGTTTTGCTATGTTGGCCAGTCTGGTCTCGAACTCCTGACCTCAGGTGATCTACCGGCCTCGGCCTCCCAAAGTGCTGGTATTACAGGCATGAGCCATCACACCTGGCCAAATCTACAATAGTTTCTAAAAGCCTTCAAATATGTAATTCTATAACAGTTCCCAATAACTAGGGGTAAACATATCCACAAACCCTAATATCATCCCCGCACTTCAAAGCAATCAGGTAAAACCTTCATATGCCATCTCTTATAGGGTACCTGATCGCTAGCTTATAGACTAACAAGAGAGTGAGGTCAGAATCACTATGCCCACCGGGATGAATTATGATTCCCAGCATCAAGGTGCCTTCCACCACTGCAGGTGCCATTAACAAAAGAAGTGCTCAATCCCGGGACAATCAGCACAGCCCTTCTCCAGAGGCCAAGACCACAGAAGGCAGCACTCCACCCCAGTATAATTTTCTCTTCTCATTGTGGCTTGCAGAGGTTCTTATAACTTTTGTTTCCAAGTGGTGTCAGAGACTATAATACAAATAACACTCTGGGTGATCCACCTTGTATAACTCTTATGGCTGCAAGCCCGTGTAGGTTAGGATACTATGAATTCCCTACCACCGAACAGTTCACATGTAACATAGACCCTTCCATCATTTGATACACAGCTGTCAGTTAAAGGATTTGAAATATCTCCTTATTCTGTTGTGTAATTAGAATAATACAGATGCACACAAAGACTTCTGTTAAGAGTAGGGTGTACCAATTTGATTCCTCCATTTCAAACTAAGACTCATTTGTTTCCAAAGAATGCAACATTGTTGGGGGTTTTAAATGTGTTACTGTTTTAGAGTGTAATGCATTGATTAAAAAACAAAAGTCAGTATGAGGATTCTTCACCACTCCCCCGCCTAAGGCAAATATGTAGGCTGAGATGCTGGAAAAGCTAGCCTGCCTAGAGATGTAGGATACAGACATTGCTCCTCATCCACTGCCTTAAAACGAAAGTGCTTCTGCAAATGCCCTCTCCAAGGTGTTCTGGAGTTCTAAATATCAGAAGTTCCAAAACTACTGCAACATGTCAACCTCTTTGCAACATCAGCAATTGGACTTGACTGAGCTTCAGTTAAGGGTTTTGATTTTAGTGTCCGAAACATAATTTCAAGAAACTCAAGTGAACATATATAATATAAAATAGCCAAGCATCTGAAAACAAGTTTCTATTCATTTGTTTTAATAACTTGATAATATTCTATATTCTTAAATATCTTTATGCATTATTTGTTAGATATCTGCTTAATCAGTTGAGTTTCTGTACTGAATTCTTAACCTTTAAATATTGTGTAGGCAATCACTGAATATTAACTTGTAGACTGCATCATTAGCCTGGAGTAATATTTCACTGAAAAGTATTGCTGAAAATGCTAGTTCCATGGAAGATTAATAGGGGATATCAGAAAAAGACATTTCTTGGTTCACTGCAAGCACTCTGTAAATATTTGCTGAGTTAAATGGAATTAAGCAGAGGTTTAGTGCAGGACTTCCTGTAGCTGCTAATATGCTAATATGCACTGTGACCCTTGAGGGTGGGGGCGGTGGGGGGCATAAGAGTTCTTGCTCAGTAGAATGTCTTGCTGAACTAGTGTCCACAGAACACAGTTTTAGAAATACTGGCCTGAAGAACAATGTTGACTTGTTTGTAAAATCCAAGTTTCATTTTAATGAATACTTAAAGTACGTATATCAGGCGCATAGCATATTATCTAGTTCAAACTACCTGTACCTAGTGTTTTAATTATTTATAAAGCCTCACAAAATTTATGGGTGGGTGAAGAAAAAAATGATTCTATGAAAAAAAACTAGTTGTTCTAACTAGGGCCATTGGCCATAAACTTCCCTTTAACTACTCCTGGGCTCACTAGATGGACTGTTCTGAAAGGTTAAAACATTAAAACTGTAAAGATGTTAACTTTTAGCATATTATCTCCCCTAGATACTCCTATTCTATAGGGTAAATAGGTCAGGAATTATTTGCCCTATTTTTCAAATGAGGAAACAGCACCCAGAAATATAAATGTCTCAAGCAAAGTCATAGTTATTTAGTCACCCAATACAGAAGCACTAAGCTCCTTGGTATATTAAAATCCAGCTTCTAACTTAGCCCAGTACTTTTTCAGTCTCTCTCTCTCTCTTTCTCTCTCCCTCTCTCCCCCACCCCCCCACAACCCCCACCCCAGCGCTGTGCTTACCCTAATGAGTGGCTAGGCTAGTAAAGAGAGGCAGGTGAAGGATCCAATTCTGTTCTAGCATTACCAGACATGAGGGTGCTTGCTTTCAGATTCCTCTATATTTCAATACATTACAAAGACACAAACGCGCTGGAAAGACCTTGCATTTCTCCTATTTAAACTTCTGAATAGAACTAAGCTAAAAGTCAGAAATAGGTCCTGAAGAAAAGTTTTCTCTCATATCAGTAGAAGGCCATAGGAAGAATTTAGTTAATTATCTAGTTGGATTGAAGAATTTCAAAAACAGGTTCACTTTCTCTTGTAACACCATTAGGTGAAGACACATATTCTAGGCCAGTAGTTCTCAAAATTTGGTGCCTGATCATCAACATCAGTATCATCTGGGAATTCCTTAGCAATACAAATTCTCTGGTCCTAGCCCAGGCCTCTGCAGTCAGAAACTCTAGGAGAGGGCCCAAAAATCTATGTTTAAAAATCCTGCAGGAGATTCTGATGCACACTCAGGTTCAAAATGTGTTCAAGCATATTCAACACATATTTTAAATAACATATTTACTCTATTTCTTCCCAAGTACAATAATTATGGCAAATATTATTGGTCAATGGTGGTCTGGATGAATTTAGGATTTGGAGCATGTAAAAAACAAACGAGCAAACAAACAAACAAAAAACAGGCAAATAACAATACTGTGCACTGGCCATTCATCAAGGAGTGGTTTTAAAAAGAGCTGGATTTAAAAAAAAAAAAGAATATATTTTTTCTTTCCATATAATACATTTTAAGCTTACATATCAAATTTCCAAGACCCTATTTCATGGTTATCTGTCAAAAGTTGGCCCAAATGCATGAGAACAGCAATGGATACTTGCTCTGCAGCGAGGAGATTCCCCTTCTGCCCTTTTATTCTCTAGTCCATACACCAGCTGCTCATAGTTGTCAAACCCCAAGATTACCTAAGTCGGTCAGGTTTGGACAGGAGCCTGACATCAATCAACCCCACCTCTCTAAACCTAAGTGTTGACTAATGGGTCACTAAGGAATTAGTAGGTAGGTACTTACTTTCTTTAAGAAAAAAAAAACATGAGAGGCTGCTATAGTTTTATTTTACATGGAAGGGATGCAGTGTGGCACAGGTTCAGAGTCAGGCTGAGATTCAGACAGACCCGGGTTTGAATCCAAGCTTCTCCACTTACTAAGAGGATGACTTAAAAACACAGCTTAACGTTTCAAGGCCTCCATCTCCTCCCTGGTAAAGTGAGGATATTAATATCTATTACCTGCCTCATAGGATTACCAGAGAGGATTCAGTGGGGGGAAAAAAAAACATATTTAGCCAAGAACAAGCTTCCAATAAATAATAGTTTTCATTATTATTTTATAAAACTAGATTTTTAAATGCATAACAAATTATTTAAAAATGTATGAAATGAAAAAATTTATTTCAAAATGCACTTAAAAATCAGTTTATATGTAGCATTTCAAGGAGTTTTTACAGGGATCAAGTTAGCATGTGATCCACAACTAGCTGAAAGGGTAAAAATCATAAGCTTTTGAAGTCACCTTATTCTTATTTCAGGTTGGAAAAACAAAAAGAGTCTATACCTGCATAAGATTAAATCTTAGAATATTCCTATAAGCTAGACCCACTGCCTGTTTTATAATTCAAGGAAAGAAAAAGAAAAATACTTATTTCAGGAAGATGAAGCTAGTAATTTCTTTATATATTAAGCATTTTATATCTAAACACAACTGAAGTATTTTTTAACAAAAGAAAAAGCGTAACAAATTTATTACGTGCGCACATGTGCACAGCAGTATTACAAAATATGAACTCCTGAAATACTAAAAGAGGAGAAAACCAAGTTATAAACTTCATTTCTACCATAACCTGGAGAAAGAAAATGATATAGAAGTTTATCTTGTTCCTTCATAATTTTTAAATGTGCTTTAATCTCTTGGGAATGGTAAGAACAAATGCTTCATATAATTTTATTTCCATCCTATAGAAATTAGGAATAAATAGAGTACTTATTCTATCATTGTATGAAAAAAGGTAGCCCTACATACATTGTATCTTGATGGCTTATGTATTTTATTATATTGATAATAAACAACAATCAAGTTTCCATGAGGGGAAAAAAATAACAAAAATCAGAAGAGTTCATTATATCAGAAAAAAAATGGGAAACAAATATTTTTCCTATGTGTGTGTTTCATTTCTGACATTTGTATGTTATTGGAAATAGGGTAATTTCCATTAATAGCAATATTAGTTTCAAAACTGCTTATGAAAAAAGTATACTGCACTGTTTGAAATTCTACCAAATAACATAACTGAAATACAACCTTTGGAATTGTAGGCATTATCTGTATATACGAATATTTAATGCAATTGGTGCCATTAACTTTTGTATTTATATTTCCAGGATCAACATAGAAATGTTAAAATATGTTTCTGTCTCTCAGATTTTATTTCTCTCAAGCACACACATATTAAAAATAAAAAACAAAAAATAAAGACTTCCTATTTTAAGGAATCCCTGACTTCCACTCTGAAATTCCTGACTGGGCAAGTAGAGAATCTGACCTCAAAGTAAAGCAGCATCAGAGGGAAAGGAGGTAGCAAAGCACATTTGCATTTCTGGGTCATTACCCACATACGGGCCCCATGCCAGAGATGACTCTGGCACTCTGCAGAAAAAATGCTGCCCATCCAAGCCTTTATTTGAGAAAGCAGGAGAACAGCTCCACATGGGTTGACTTTTTGAAACTTTAGCTGTATTCAAGAAAATAAGTCGCTACCTGCTTTGTGAACGAAGAAAGAAGAGTTGGACACTGGAAGAAGTTTCTAGGTATCTCCTGGTATATATAAGGCAGAGAAGAGTAGTGCTGAATTACAGTGAGAATAAATTAAAAACAAAACCATGTGCAACAATATTCAGGATGCATAAATAGAAAACATTTAAAAAGAAGAAAGTTATCATTTTACAACTTAGCAAACTCAACATATTTTTACATGATAAGTTTCTAAAGTATTGTATGGGGATTTTCAGTCTTCTTCATGAGTAAGTTTGGTTAACAACTTCAAGATTTTATCATCAATGGCATCTGAATCCTAAAAAGTTAAAATTCTCTGAGCCAGGAAGTTTTGTGGCAGATAAAGTTATAAACTTCTGAAAAACCGTCAAACTTGTCAGAAGTATACCAGGAATATCATAAGATTCTACCTGCACTTTTCAAGCTACTTCACAGCAACGCTTTATTTTCTAAAAAGTAATAAAATAGCACATGATTATGAACACTGCATAAAATCATGATCACTGAAATATTCCATAATTATAATAAAATTGTTTTTAATTTAGTCTACACTCACAACATCTTAAGGAAAAAAAATATGTACCTTTGAAAATGGTTAGCAATCCTGTGATAGAAAGTAACTGATCATTCTTAATTAAGTTTCAAATGTACTCCTTCACACAGCTGCACACACAATGTGTACTAACCTAATTGTTAGTTGCACCTGCTCCAAGTTAACAATATTTCATACAGCCCATGGCAATAGTGGCATTTTTCAAGTGTTATTCTGTGGAGTGTAAATCTAAACTTTCTTTCAATAGTTTATGACATGTTTTGTGCCACCCAGAAGTCTAAAGTACAAAATAGGGGATTTTGAGTTTCCTTACTTGAAAACAAATCTGTCCTTTCAGTCTAAATTAAGTTATATTCTTTCATATTTTAACGTATTTTTTCACACTGAGAGATATCAGAGTAATTTTTTCCACATTTATAAAAGAACTCTGATTCAATCAAACATTGGGGAAAACATGCCAAAACTTTCACAAGTTGAAAGTTACAAATAGTAAATAAGAAGTTAAAAACTTCTTGTCCTATACCACTACATCCACCATTGCAAATGCAGTGATGATTTTTGTTACTATCTGAAATCTTCAGTTTCTGAGTATTAAGGACAGCAATGATAAAAAGAAAATTACCTTCTTGAGATTATGAGCTTAAGCTCTGGATTCTGCACATGGAATAAATCTGTTTCCAGAGATCATACTCCTTTACGTAGGAATCACCCTAAAATCTGAAGTTGGCATAACCATACAACTCAAAGATTTTAATTTATGATATATATGGAAACAGTTTTTCATAAAATGGAAGTTTTGTATGAATCTCTATGGTATGGAATTCTAGTTTCTTGTTTTATAAACGGATCTCCTGATTTTTGAGAAGAGTATATGTTTATCAATACTTGTAGTCTGCCAAACATTAAATTAAATGTATATTTAACTAATTTAAAGCACAGATATAGAATTCTGACAGGTAAATGTCTCTGAAGAATCTGCCTCTGTCCCTCAATTGTTAAATGGTCAAAACACCGTGTCTGGTCTGATAATAACTTAATAAATGAGATCACCATATCCACAATACCAAAAGCCACCTCATCCTCTCCTAAGATTAGCTGCAAATTGGTACAGATGTAAATATTCCCTTAAATTTATTTAAAATACAAATACTTTGCTCCGAGGACTGGAGATTAATGTTTCCAGAACCTTAATCAAGTCACATAATAAAGCAACTGAATAAAGTTTCTAACTTAGAGTCTCTTTGGCCTTTTTTCCTGTACAGTTACCAAAAAAAAGATGCCCAAATGTTACAAGAACACATACTAAACACTTGAGAAGTAAACAAAACTGGGTTAACTTTTATTTCAGTCAATGGTACATGAGTCATAACTTAGTCTAGAAACCTGGTTTATTTGTAAAACAATCTACTCATAATAGCGCAAAGACATAAAAAGTTTTTAAAAATCTATTGAGAGCAAAAGGAAAACATACACACCCACCTATTTTTTAGTGCAGGGCTTTGCAACTATTAATTTGCAAAAGAATTATTTTATTTAAAATCAAATACCGTATTTCCAAAAAGCAACAATTACCAAGAATCTCTGAGGTCCTTTGAGGTGTGATCATTTCACCCTATCAAAACAATTGCATTTTCTTTGTCCTTTGTTTTTTGTTCTGCATCTGCGTTAACATGGCTGCTAATTATATTAGCCTGGTGGCACATAAAGTCTGAATGGGAAAAATCACATGATTCTCATATAATATAAAAACTCCTTAGGATTCCAATGTACACTTACTTAGATTGTGCTCTTCTGTATTACAGCTACGTCTATTCTGTTAGAGAACTTAATTATAATTCAGAATTTCTGTTTCATAAGTGATGGTGCAACTCTCCAAGACACCATTGTATGTATGGATGCATGCATGTACTCAAGAGCATATGTACATACACACATATGTGAGCACATAAAAACACAAAGGAACCTTTAGCTTTATCATTCTACTTTGAATAGATAGCTTCCCTACTGGTATATTTATGTTTTTCTAAAATTAAGTTCTTGAGGAGTTTGTATTCATCACACAAAATGTCATACAGACCTAGTGCATACATTTGCCATAAGAAAGCCCTATTATATTACATGATTAGAAGTTAAATCACATTTTTCAAATTTTAAATCGAAAAGAGCATAAGAATGATCTACACACCCACTCATTCTCACATTTTTATGCTTTCACACAGTGAATCAGCAAATGTATTCTTTTTCTGAATAATATATAAAAATAAGAATGTTTTGAAAACCTTTATACAGTTTGGCAGACTTAGCCTAATGGGTTGTTTAACAAAGTAAACTCCCTCATTGTTTTGGTTAGCTTTATTATTAAGAGTAAAAATCCTTCATTGCAAAACTTATATGAATCTGTGGTACAGAAAAATAAACTGGTTTACACATCATTGAGAAACTACCACATTCTGAAAATTACATTTATAGTTCCATCTTTGTCTTACAACCAAGTGCATAAGCGCATAAATCACAGATCAAAATAGACACCATCAGATAACTTTCAGGGGAAAGAAAAACATCCTAAGACAACACACAACAAAAAGCACTGTTTCAGCTAAATATTAAACAAAGCAGCAATAACTAACACTCATGGGCTTCACGACAACTGATAAACAAGAACACTTAAGGAATTCCTCTGCCAGTTTCAATGGCAAATCCTTGCTCTTTTGAACACTTTACTGATTGGACACTTAAACATCTTCTGCCTTGTAGTCACTTCAACCTTTATGAAACAGTTGTTGAAAACGGACATGACTATTCCAGTTAATTTATACTTTCTAAGGAAATATATTTAATGACAAGTGTGAGCAAGTAGCTCCTACCTCAAATTAACCACTTAGAGTGGTGTATTTTTCACCTCTCAACTCTCTACTCAGACCCTCCTTCCATTGCCCTTAGGGAATTGAAATTCAGAGACATGACGTTTTCCATTATTGGTTCCTTGCCCCTTTGCAACTGTACAACATTCCTCAAAAAGTACATAGAATTCTCCATCCTATAGGATCAGACAACAGTATCTATTTCAGGAGCAATAATATGCATAATGTAAGACAGAATAGTTTTTCTTGGAATTGTCTGTGTTAATTGTGATTTAAAGGTTACTGGTTCCGTCTATGACAATGGTGTTGCTGAGTTCACCTAAGTATTTTTGTTCAATCTGCATACTTTAAAAACTCAATGTGGCTAAAACTCAAACAGTCTAAATTAGACTGTTGTAAGGATACCATGTGCCCTAAACAGTGGTTTTTTTAGAGCATTATACTTAAAGACAACATTTTCCTTAAAAAAAGAAAAAAAACATGTCTATGAAGAAACAAAGATACTGCAAAATTAGTATAGAGAAGAAAAGTCCAAAATTCCGTATTCCTCTGTTTAACAACCTGTACGGTAAATTGTAGGTGACAATCACGTTGTTACATGAATAGGAATGCAAAGCATAAAGAACAAGAGCTACATCTTGCTTTTCCTAAAGAAATTAAAGACAAGTTTAACCCGCACCTGCCAAACTGTCTTAAAAGGGACAGAAATAGGTGGGAACGGAAAGGCTCACCTCTCCTGTACCCCAGAGTGCGTCTCCCTGAAATCATCTTCAATATAGGCAATATATCTGTCACCTTCTCTTTTATCTTTTTCGTCCATTCTAGTCAATGGCAGACCCTTTGCTGCACTCCCCTGCCCACTATCTCAAAGACACATTACAGAATAAGGGGACCCAAGTGTCACTTACCAGTTGCATGCCACAGATAAAGATAAGCGTGCACCTGCCACTGCAATAACCCATGGTTTCCGAGACCCCTGCCACAGCCAGACTGTCCCACGTCGGCCACCGTCGAGCCCCCACTTTATCCAATCAGATCGCGGGGAAGGACACGCAAACCTGCCGAGGGCTCGGGGGCTCCGGGCTGCTGCTGCTGCCAGCGTCCTGGGAAGTGACAGGCATTAGGACCTGCTGGCGCGGCGGCGGCGGCGGCGGCAGCTCCAGCCGCGCCCGCCACACATACCTTCACTCGCTCGGTGCACACGCCGCGCCGCGGGCAGTGCCGCCTGCGGAGGCGCGCTCGGGGCCCGCAGGGGCAGCAGCGGCAGCCTGGCAGCGCCGCCGCGCCCTCGGGCATCTGGCCCGCGAAGTTTCGCCCCTGCCGCTCTCCGCGCCGCTCGCCTCACGCCCCCCAGCGCGGCCGCCGCCCGACGCGCGCTCGCCCTGCGCTCGCCGCGCGCCGGCTCCGGGGGCGGCAGAAGCGCGCGAGGGCCGCTGCCCGCCTCCCTGCGCAGCCCGCGGCTCCTAGGCACCCTGCGTTGCTGGGCCCGGCGGGCGGGGGTGGGGCGGGGAGCGGGGCGCGGGCCGAGCGGGGGCGTCCCGGCTCCGCGGTCCCCGGCGGCTGCTGCAGCGGCTGCTGCGCGCAATGATGCGGGTCCGCGCCGCGTCCCAGCAGCGGCGCTGCCCCTCCCTTCGCCCAGATGTGTGAATCCTCCTCCTACAACAAATCCTTCATCCTGCTCCCTGCCGCCCCCTCCCAGGGGGCCAACTTTGAGGACCGCAGGGGCTGCCGCCCAGGCGGCCGCAGGCGGCGGTGTCTAGGCGGAAAGGAGCGGCGCGAAAGCGGCGGCGGCGGGGACCGGGGCCTCGGGGCGAGGAGTCTGGGCGGCATGACCGCGGTTTGCTGAGCTGAAGTCGGTCGTGCTCCCAGAGCCACTCCGCGGGAGCGAACCGAGTGTGTGTGTGCGCGCGCGCTCGGGGGAGAAGGGACCAAGAGGAGGGTTAGGGAAGGAAGCTGGGGTCATGGAACAGGGGTGCAACCGAGGCATCCAGAGCGGCCGGAAAGCCCGAGTGGCGGAGAGGCCAGAGGTGGCGAGAAGGGGCGCGGCGGCACCGGACGCACCGCCCAGCACCTGGCTCCCCTGGGCTCCCGAGGATCTGAAGGGTCGGAGCGCGGAGAGCTACGGAGCCGACCCTGCTTGGGGAAGGGGACCGAGTTGCTGCTGGAGTTGGGAAAAATTAGCAACCGGAGGGAATAGGGATGCAATGAGTTGCTGTTGCTGCTTCAAACTGTTGTTTGTTTTCACTTAAAATACTAAAGAGTCGGAGACTAGTTTAATACTCAGTTACTTCAGCTTCACAGCAGTCCCAGCTGGGTGTGGATTCCTAGTGGAGATGCACCAGCCTCCGCTGAGCACCGGCCTGAAAGCTGTGAAGCGGCTGCTACCTGCAGAGACAGGCTTCGGAGCCCGCTGCTGCCACCTGCGGGCGGAAAGCTGAAGGGCGCAACATGCTGGCCCAAGTGGCTGCCCCTGGGGCGTGGATATTTAGGACCAAGTTTCCTTTTTAGCCCTGGCAGCTAAGGAAAGCAATCCTAACTTTTCCAGGAAGTGAAGATTATTTGTTGAGATCCACTGAGGAACTGACTCATTGGGGTGAAGTGTCGCGATTGATAAGAGGATGGTTTAGGGAGCTAAATAGCAAACAGCTCCCTAGCACCCTTCTTAAGAGATTAAGATGACGAAGCCACATCAAGCAGAGAGCTCTCTGTAGCAACTGGAACTTGGCGCCTACTGAGAAAAATGGCATTTATACAGGATAAAGTTATGCTGGGAACCACAAATAAGGATCCCGAATGATTGCTTCCTTTGAATAAACATTATGACGTATCAGAATGACTAAATACAAATAAATTGAATAGGGCAGAGAGACTATTCTCCAGAGCCTGGCACTGAATTTTCAGAAACGTTTCGTCAGTCCTAGGGAGCCAAAAAGGGATTAACTTTGTTAAATTTATGGAGCACAGATATTTTATTGCTATAATGAGAATGTCTGGTTTTAATCGACCCATTTGTAAAGGGGCTTTTCTTCTGAAAAGTGTCTTTCAATGTTTAATAAAATTCCCAAGAGCCCAATATGTGCTCTTAGGCACTGCAAAGCCTGGAAGGTAATAGTTCCACAACCTTTGGTAAAACTGAAGCCAGTTATCTAGTGGAAAATGTTTCTCTTAGTTGCTCTTCTGTCTTTATACACGTTAGCTGTCCTGTACCTGCTAGGGCTATGGGTATTTTGCATTGCCAAACAGAAAGCTGTAAGTTAATTGACTGTTGAAGAAGCTGCTGCCATACTGTCAAAAGCATTCTATTACCTCCTCAAATTAATCATAGGAACAACACATTTATATGGATCCCTCCGTAATCCTGCAGAGGTTTCCCTGCAACCAGCAATAGCCTGAGTAATCTTTAGGTTGTATAGGAAAGCAGAATGCTATCTGTAGCTGACTCCAGCAGTGCCCCACCATAGTTCTTGGACTGTGCCCTTTCAGTCCATGCTTGCGTTTTTGTAATCACTTGGGACAGTCTGTTTTCTAGCCATTGGAGGTGCTTGGCTGAACAATAAGGTTCCAGCCCTAAGAGCTACCCTCACGCAATAATGGATGGGAATTGGAGGATAAATACCCCAGCTTCTTCAATCCTCATATGGGAAACCGTCAGACATGTTCTAGTCTACACCATTAAGGTCCCCACCGAGATTGAGCCCTAGGTGTCCACAGTAGTAACTGGCTCATTCATGCGCTCTGAATTGGCTTCCTTCCCTTCCATGCCTCATCTCCCTGCTTTCATACCACTGCTTCCTGGGATCACCTCTGAAATAAACCACTCAAATCCTTGTGTCAGAGCCTGCCTCTTGAGAATCCCAACCTAAGGCAGTCTCCAGGGGCTTTTATACCTCATCTGACGTCATTGGCACAGTGTTCTCAGAAGTGTGAACTACAAACAATGTTGAGACTTCACTATGTGCAACTACTGCCTTATGTACTAAACCTACATCGTCTCATTCATTCCTCACAGGAAACACATGAGTTGATACAATGCACATTCTAAAGATATACAAACTCAGAGAGAAATCAAATATTTTTATCACGGGTGCACGTGTTCTTGGCGGCAGAATTAGAATTTGAAGGGCATGATTATAAGACACCAAAATTCGCTTTTCGAACTACTGTACCACACTCCTTTATTTCAATATACTTCCCTGTCATTCTTTTAGAATTCCATACGAAAGTGATGACAAAAATATTTAGAAGAATAATCACACATATTTTATCTCTAAATTGGCATCACATCCTTTACATACAGTATAGGCAATGCCTGACTTATGAAAGGGCACCCTAGTTATAGATGCAATTCTATAACTTAATGTGGCTATGCACTTCCTATTCTGTTTTCTATTATTCCTGGAACTGAGTGTCTTAGTAGAAGAGACTAAAAAGAGAATCCCAACAGTTCCACAGACGTTTGTGAAGGAGAGAGATGTCTCCAATTTGAATGTTGATTGCATTTTCACTTAGAAATAAGGTCATAAACTGTTTTGCTATATAAGGTGTTAGACCTTTTGTTGACTAATATGGTGACATAAGTATTGTGAATTGCCTTGTTTCTATGGGGAAAATGTGCTGCACATTCCACACCTCCATCTGCCTCACCTTCCCGTACTGTTTTAAAGTAGTTTTCAAGGTTGTTTCAGATCTATTATCTCATTTATCTCTCAGAACAACTCATGCAATGCAGTAGGCACACAGCCACTGAGTGAACCGGGTTACAGACTGCTAACACTCAATCACTTCAGCTACACCAAAAGCTCAAGCTTGGCGTTGCAACTCTGCTAAACAATTTCACTGAGTTTTATTGCCTCCATTCATTATTTTAAATCATGAAAGCAAAAATTAGTTCTCTTGAAGATTTTTGTGGGTACATAGTAGATGTATATATTTATGGGGTACAGGAGACATTTCGATACAGGCATAGGATGCATAATAATCACATCTTTACAATCACAAAACCAACCTATTTGACTCATTGTACACATTATATATTTTATATTAACATGGATTTTTTTCTTGTTTGGATAATGATTAGGAAAATGATAGTATATTTTAAATGTTAATGGCATATAAGATGAAAATAGCCACCAATTCTTCCATCCAGAGATAATTGATGTCATTTTTATACAAACCATTTTCTAACAAAAATAGGGTGATATCATGCACAACATCTTTTAACCTGCTTTTTTTCACTTGACAATAGACCAAAAACATGTATCCAGGTTATTAACTATTAAGTTCATGGACTCTGCAGCCAGACATTGAGTTTCATAATCCAAGCTCTGCCATTTATCAACTATGTAGTCTTAGGTAAATTGCTTAGCTCTTTGTGCTTTGGTTTTCTTATTTATAAAATGGGAGGGGTAATAATGCACATATAGAGTTTTTGGGAGAATTTAGTAAGCATCAACTAAGTTAAACTTTTAGAGCAATGCTGTATTAGGGCTCTCTAAAGAGACAGAACTAATGGAATATATATATATTTATATATATATGGGAGTTTTATATATATATGTTTTATATATATGCCATATATATATATATATATATATATATATATATATATATATATATGGGAGTTTATTAAGTACTAACTCACAGGATCACAGGGTCCCACAATAGGCTGTCTGCAAGCTGAGGAGCAAGGAGAGCCAGTCCGAGTTCCAACAATGAAGAACTTGGAGTCTGATATTCAAGGGCAGGGAGCATCCAGCATGGGAGAGAGATGCAGTCTGGGAGGCTAGGTCAGTCTCACTTTTCGCATTTTTCTGCCTGCTTATATTCTAGCCAAGCTGGCAGATGATTAGATTGTGTCTACCCAGATTAAGGGTGAGTCTGCCTTTCCCAACCCGCTGACTGAAATGTTAATCTCCTTTGGCAACACCCTCACAGACACACCCAGGATCAATACTTTGTATCCTTAGATCCAATCAAGTTGACACTCAGTATTAACCATCACAAGTCTACCTTTGTCAACTTGAACCCATATGCATTTCCTGATATCATACATAATCTTCAAATAATGACAGTAATAAGGTCATAATTATGCCTAACATAATACAGCTATCTTTCATACAAACGGAAACCCACCAATCCCCAACCCGAACACTATTACATAAAGTTAACAACACTTAAATGCTCATGTGAAGTCAAAAACTCTTATGTCACATGGGAAAGGAGAAAGGAAATAAAATGAAGATATTTTCTTAGTACAAGTGTATACAAGCACAAACATATTTTTAACAAAAGAAGGAGGAAATAACTCATGACAATTACAGTCCCCATAGCTGCAGCAGGTCACCTGGTCATAGCTGGTATTGATGACTGCCTTCTTCTACTATCCATTCTGTATTCCCTTTGCCTTCAGCAAGCACCTTAGCAGGGTGTGTGTGTGAGTGTGTGTGTGTGTATGTGTGTGTGTTGTTTTTTTTTCCTGGTAGAGTGATGCAAACCTTCATTCCTGAAGGGTCTGGTCATTCGTAGTCCTGTTTGGATTGGGCTGTTGTACTTTCCATTGACCTTAATCACAGGGCATGGTAATACTAAGAGACACTCTAATGGATCTCCTGTATTTCATGCATACTCTTCCTTACCTTCGTGGTGGAGTAGTAGACTGATTTCTTCTTGACAGTCCAGGTCAGTCACCCCAGCTAACACTGTAACTCCCTTCTTAGCGTATTGACTTAAAAGTAGGAAGAGCCCAAAGTGTCTACATGGGAATTTTAACTTTCAGCTTAATGGAATCATTGGGTCTCCTGGTGGCAGCATTCCTCCTTCTGGAACTAAGACCTCTAGGCCAGCAGAATGTAATGTTGTAGGAACAGGAAGCAAACATTTTGTTAGTGCTACTTCCACTTCCACCCATTGAATCCTGGACCCATGAATCCTGGCTATGGGAGAAACAGTACCATATAGCGGGCACTGCTTCTGAGCATACACAGCCTTCTGGAGAACTTTGCCCCAGCTCTGCAAAATATTGTCACCTAGTTGGTGTTATAATTGTGACTTCAAAAGGCCATTCCACCATTCTATCAATCCAGCTGCTTCAGGATGATGGGGAACATGGTAAGAACAGTGAATTCCATGAGCATGAGCCCACTGCTGCACTTCTTTACCTGTAAAGAGAGTGCCTTGGTCACGGGCAGTGTTGTGTGGAATACCATGACAGTGGATAAGGCATCCCATGAGGCCACAGATGATAGTCTAGGCAGAAGCATTGTATGTAGGATAGGCAAACCTATATCCAGAGTAAGTGTCTGTTCCCATGAGGACAAACCTCTGCCCTTCTCATGATGGAAGAGGTGCAATATAATCAACCAGCCACCAGGTAGCTGGCTGCTAACCCTGAGGAACGGTGCCATATCGAGTGCTCAGTGTTGGTCTCTGCTGCTGGCAAATTGGGCACTCAGCAGTGGCCATAGCCAGGTCAGCCATGGTGAGTGGAAGTCCATGTTGCTGAGCCCATGTGTAACCTCCGTCCCTGCCACCATGGCCACTTTGTTCATGGGCTCATTGGGCGATGGCAGGGGTGACTGGGGAAAGAGGCGTCCACAGAACAGGTCATCCTATCCACTTGATTATTAAAATCCTCCTCTGCTGAGGTCACCCTGTTGGAGAGCACTCACATGGATACAAATATCTTCACAATTTTTGCCCACTCAGAGAAATCCATCCACATACCTCTTCCCCAAATTTCTTCGTCATCAGTTTTCCAATCATGCTTTTTCCAAGTCCCTGACCATCCAGCCAAACCATTGGCTACAGCCCATGAATCAGTATACAATCACACATCTGGCCATTTCTCCTTCCATGCAAAGTGCACAACCAGGTACACTGCTCAAAATTCTGCCCACTGGGAAGATTGCCCTTCACTGCTGTCCTTCAGGGATGTCCTAGAAAGGGGCTGTAGTGCTATAGCTGTCCACTTTCAGGTGGTGCCTGCATATTGTGCAGAATCATCTGTGAACCAGGTCCTAGTCTTCTCTTCTTCTGCCAGCTTATCATAGGGAACTGCCCATGAAGCCATTGGTACAGGCTGAGGGAGAGAAGGCAGGGTGGCAGGAATGGAGACCATGGGCATTTGAGCCACTTCCTCATGTAACTTACTTGTGCCTTCAGGACCTGCTCAAGCTGGATCACATATACACTTCCATTTGATGATGGAATGCTGCTGTGTATGAGCGACTTTATGGCTAGATGGGTCAGAAAGCACCCAGTTCACAATAGGGAGTTCAGGTGGCATGGTGATTTGATGACCCATAGTCAAACGTTCAGTTCCCACCAAAGCCCAGTAACAGGTCAAGAGATGTCTCTCAAAAGGAGAGTAGTTGTCTGCAGAAGATGGCAGGGCCTTGCTCCAATATCCTAGAGCCCTCCACTGTGATTCACCTATGGGGGTCTACCAAAGGGTCCAAACAGTATCCCTATCTGCCACTGACACCTCAATCACCGTTGGATCTGTTGGATCATATGGCCCAAGTGGCAGAGCAGCTTGCACAGCAGCCTGGACCTGTTGCAGAGCCTTCTCCTGTTCTGGACCAGACTCAAAACTGGCAGCCTTTTGGGTAACTTGATAAATGGGCCAGAGTAACACACCTAAATGAGAAATGTGTTGCCTTCAAAATCCAAGTAGCTCCACTAGGCATTGTGTTTCTTTCTTGGTTGTAGGAGGGACCACATGCAGCAACTTAATCTTCACCTTAGAAGGAATATCTCAACAGTCTGCACACCACTGAAACTCTAGAAATTTTACTGAGGTAGAAGATCCCTGAATTTTAGTCGGATTTATTTCCTATCCTCTGGCATGCAAATGTCTCACCAATAAGTCCAGTGTGTTTGCTACTTCTTGCTCACTGGATCCAGACAGCGTAATGTCATCTGTGTAATGGACCATTGTGATATCTTGTGGAAGCGAAAAGTGATCAAGATCTCTCCGAATAAGATTACGACACAAAGCCAGAGAGTTGATATACCCCTGAGATAGGACAGTAAAAAATATTGCTGGTCTTGCCAGCTGAAGGCAAATTGCTTCTGATGGGCCTAATGGACAAGAATGGAGAAAAAGGCATTTGCCAAGTCAGTGGCTGCATACCAGGTATCAGGAGATGTGTTAATTTGCTCAAGCAATGAAGCCACATCTGGTACAGCAGCTGCAATTGGAGTCACCACTTGGTTAAGCTTACGATAACCCACTGTCATTCTCCAAGATCCATCTGTCTTCTGCACCGGCCAAATGGGAGAGTTAAATGGGGATGTGGTGGAAATCACCACTCCTGCATCTTTCAAGTCCTTGATGGTGGCACTAATCTCTGCAATCCCTGCAGGGATGCAATATTGTTTTTGATTCACTATTTTTCTAGGTAGAGGCAGCTCTAAAGGCTTCCATTTGGCTTTTCCCACCATATTGGCTCTCACCCTACCAGTCAGGAAGGCATTGCAGGGGTTCTGCCAGCTGTTAAGTATGTCTATGCCAATTCTGCATTCTCACACTGGGAAAATGACCACAGGATGAGTCCAGGGACCCACTGGACTCACTGTAAGTCAGACCTGAGCTAAAACTCCATTAATTATCTGACCTCAATAAGCCTCTACTTTAACCGGAAGACCACAGTGACATTTTGGGTCCCCTAAAATCAACGTCAGCTCAGAGGCAGGGTCCAGTAGTCCCTGAAATATCTGATCATTTCCCTTTCCCCATTGCACAGTTACCCTGATAAAAGGCTGGAGTTCTCACTGGGGAAGGATGGGAGAAAGATTCACTGCATAAATTGTTGGTAATGTAGTGGGGCCCTTCCTCAAGGGGACCTGGCCTCTCCTTCATTCAAGGGATTCTGGGTCTGTAAACTGGCTCAACTCTGGAAATTGATTGAGGGGCTATGATTCTCTGTTTCTGTAATTCAAATTAGTCTTTTGTACATTTAAGCTAGACATTTTCTGTTTATATAAATTAAATTGGAATGCAGCAGGCTTCCTATCAATTTCACTTCTAGGAACACTGTGATTAATTAGCCAATGTCAGTGCCCTACATGAGTCAGACTATTCTGATTGTTGCTTTGCCTCTGCTGTCCATCTTGCCTTGGATGGTTGAGTGCTGCCACTTGACTTCTGCCACCTTGGGATCCAATTATTCTCATTGTATTTAAATTTTGTAGTTGAGTGACTGCAGTTCCCACTGTTAGATCTCACATACAGAGAAAAGCAATTATAGGGTTCTTCAATGATGCAGGTGCTGCCCTCACAAATCTATTTCACAAGGCTTTGGTCAAGAGTATATCTTCTTGGCCCTCCCAGCTGAAATGAGTAGGTCTAAAGTGACTAATCCACTCCATCATCCCAATCTCTTTAAGCCTTTGGATCCCTCCCTCTACAGTAAACCAAGGGAGATCAGGCATTTCCAGCTTGCTCACAGTGGGCCGTCTTTTAATCCTATTTCAATTCAGAGCTCAGTGTTCCCAGCTTCATCAGGGTCCTCCCACATGTCTCTATTCCAAGTTGCAGGGTCCCATACTTTTCCAATCAATGCCCTCACTTTAACAGTAGACACCTGGCAAGGCTGTGCATGCAGCTTTCATTGCAAGTCAGCCACTCACATGATAAGTTTGTGTCTGTTTTTCCACAGTTTTAGCTCTTTCTCTCCAGGAGGTAAGACTCTCACTCAGGGCAGTCTTAGCAGATTTGAGGCTCAGTATCTGCTTCTGAAGACAGGAGATAGAATCCCTGAGGTCATCATTTTCTTTCATCACTTTGTCCGCTGAACTTAAGAGGGACCAACCAGCTTCATTGTGTTCCTTGGTTCTTGACATATGGTCAATGGTATTATGTATAGAGTCGCTAAACTCCTTGCCTCTTATGAGTGATGAATCAGGAGTGTCAAATGCATTTATTTTGCATAACTCTCTAAACAGTTCCTGCCAAGGACTATCAATGCTCTCCATACTATTAGAAGTAGAGTCTTTAGCATTTTGGGGTCTAGTCATATTAAGCAGCCAAATCCAGAAACCTCAAAACCAATGAAAGAACTCCATCCTTAATATTCTGTTCTTCTAGAACTACTGCTGGTACCACAATCTGCATTAGTCAGGGTTGTTTAGATGGACAGAATGAATGGAATATATATATATACACACACACACATATATACGTATATATATATGTGTATATATATACACACACATATATATGTATATATGTGTGTATATATACATATATGTATATGTGTGTATATATACATATATGTATATGTGTGTATATATACATATATGTATATGTGTGTATATATACATATATGTATATATGTGTGTGTATATATACATATGTGTGTGTATATATATAAAAAAGAGGAGTTTATTAAGTATTAACTCACATGATCACAAGGTCCCACAATAGGCCTTCTGTAGGCTGAGGAGCAAGGAGAGCCAGTTTGAGTCCCAAAACTGAAGAACTTGGAGACCAATGTTCAAGGGCAGGAAGTATCCAACATGGGAGAAAAATGTAGGCTGGGAGGCTAGGTCAGTCTCTCTTTTCACATTTTTCTGTCTGCTTATAGTCTAGCCATGCTGGCAGCTCAAAGACACACCCAGGATCAATACTTTGTATCCTTCAATCCAATCAAGTTGACACTCAGTATTAACCATCACAAATGATTAGCAGTTAATACTTTAATATTGTTAATTATCATTATTCTGCATAAAACTTAGTTTTTATGACTATATAGAACACCAAGTATCCCAATTATTTAATTCATATCCTTTTCTTATACCTATAGCTTTTGTGATGGACAAAATAATGGCCCTCTAAATATGTCCACACTATAATTCTTGGAACCTGTGAATATATTACCTCATAGGACGAAAGAGACTTTGCAGGAGTGATTAGACTAGGAATCTTGAGATGCGGAGAGTATCCTGGAATATCCAGGAGGTCCCAATAATAATCACATAACCCCTTAACAGTAGAAAACTCCTCCAGGCTAGGAGGGGAAAAGATTTGTAGATGTAGGAAGGGGGCTACGAGCCAAGCACTACTCTCTAGAAACTAGAAAATGTACAGAAATGGAATTCATTCATAACTTCCAGAAGGACAACATTTATGCGAACAGCTTGATTTAGCCCACTGAGACCCGTGTCAGGTTTCTGACATACAGAATTGTAAGATGATAAATATGTGTTATTGATAACAAATATGTGTAATTGTAAAGTCCTAAATTCATGGTAATTTGTTATAGTAGCAACAGAAAACCAGTTCAGTTTGCTTTCAATGCTTCAATATTACACATTTTTAAATAAATAAATTTATAGATAAATCTTTGCCTGTGTTACAATTATTCCCTTATAACAAATTTCTAGAAATAGACTTGTAAGTCAAGGAAAAAAGCAAAATTGTAAGGCTTTTGATAAATAATAACAAGCTTACTGTAAGGGTGTTCTATCAATGTATCTGTGTGGGGGTTGGACAGGCTGTTTTCCCTATGCCTTTACTAGTAATGGATATTATCATTTTTTAAAAAGTTTCCATTTTCCATTGTAATTTGCATTTCTTTTATACAATGATTATTTACTAAAGACCCAGTAAGTGTGTTAAAATGGACCATGACCTGTAAATACTATATATCACAATGATTCCCACCTTTCTGTACTGATTTGTCTTAAAAGTTCAATTCCATTCCTTAATAAAATTATCCAGTGACAGATTCTGTAGTACAGAACCATAGCAATAAAAATCCATTTATCCATTTGACTAATATGCAGGCCCTCAGAGAAAACATTGAAAAGATATTAACCAAAGATGACAGATTATGCCATGAAAAAGACCACAGCTGTAGTTATGATCAATGACTGACCAGTCAGATTTCTGTATTAAATACTACTTGGGATACATCCTTTTAAATTAAATGATTTTCACTTGTAATTTATGTACATTTTACTTTTCAAGTAGAGTGTCACGAATATACCAAGATCTCAGTAGCTATTTGCTGATGATCATTTTTGTATATTAATGAATTTTTTAACATTTCAATTATATTTAATATGAGATATTCTAAGCAAGTTAATAAAATTATTTTAAAAATATAAGAACCTTAGTTATACTATTTTAGCAAGTTATCTCAGAAGGACATACAATTTTAGGAATGAAAATATTTGTTAGAAATTAGAAAAGCCATATGTTAGTCTCTTTATTTTCCTCTAATCTGTGCTGATTTTTTTTTTTACATGAAGAACTAAGTGTAAGGTTCTAATTGTTATTGCTGTGTAACAACCACTCTAAATGATGGCATTAATGACTATCTTATTATGCTCAGAGATTCTGTGGGTAAGGAATTTGAGGAGGTTTGGGGAGAGTTTGTCTCTGCTCCAGAATGTCTGAAGCTTCAGCTGGGAAGACTCCAAGCCTAGATGTGACTCCATGGTTCAGTACAGGGATCATCTGAAGACTGGTTCACTCACATGTCCAACACATAGGCTGGAAGGACTTGAAGACTAGAACTGCTGAGCAGAGCACCTACATGTGTCCTCCCTTTGCAACTTGGCTCCCTCCCTCGGGGTAGGCAGACATTTTACATGGCAGCTGAGGGCTCCAAGCACAGGGTTCCAAAAAACAAGGTGGAAGCTGCACTGCCTCTTATCACCCAGCATCAAAAGTCACACAGCTCCACTTCGGCCATATGCTGTTAGTTATAAGGAAGTCACAAGACCACCTTATTTGAAAAAGGAAGACCTCAAGTGTCACTTATTAATGGAAGAAATGTCAAAGAATTTGAATGCTATGATTTAAAACCTCTATTTTAATCATCGAATCATAGTTATATGGAATTTACTATCTTGAAAATTAAAATAAGTAAAAACTAAAATTTAGACAGTAATGCTGTTGTGTTAAAATAAAAAAGTTATCTTTATGCTAATACTGTGGAGAAGCCAGCTAATTGAACATAAAAGAAATTGTTGCACTAAATGAACCAGAATCAAAATTAATAATAAAAGTAATCATTTGACTTTGAGTTTTATATATTGTGGGCAAGGAAAGTAGAGAGAACATATTCCATCCGTTCAAATTACTTCACATACTCAAAAGCAAGTGAAAAGTTGGGTTTCATTTCCTACAATTATGAGATGAGGAATAGAGTATTTAAACCATTCAGTAGAATGAGACTAAACAAATGATTCAATTTTAGTGAGGCTATAGTAATATGTACACTACTTTTTTTTTCTGTGTAATTAAGATTTATTATACAGCTTGAAAGTATCTTTCCAGATAATGTATTTACTGTAATATTTCTTTATTTGCTGTGCTTTCCCCAGTTTATCCTTCTACAACCCTAATAAACACCAATTTAATGGAATATTAGAAAATGACAAATCTTAGGAAGGTAGATATGGTATGCTTACTTATAATAGGATTAAATCAAAATCCTTATACATTGGTATGTTTTGAGCTTTTAGAGGGAAAAATAAATACCCAAACACCGTTGTTTCTTTGTAGTTAAGATGTTCAGTAATATAAATACAGTATTCTAATCAAATATGTATTTTTTCTTTTTGAGGGAAAGAGGTAGATTCTTTAGTGGAATAGTGAATTTAAATTGACCTTTTAAAATCTGGAAGTGGATGAGGGTGGAAACATTTTGGATTTGCCCTTTGTTGCTGTGAGCTGGAATATAGCACCATGATTTCTTTGGTAAGTCTGTTCCAGCTTCATCACCCATTCTGGGACTGACTGGTAAAGATGCAGTAATTCTTAGATGCTTCCAGGGGTCTTTTCCCAGGCATTCTGTGGTAAGTACGGGTGCTCCTTTGATACCTCCTTAAAATGATCTTAAGGAGGGAAGTATGGCCAATAATCCTGCCTTCCTCAAGTATTTTTGTCTTTACATATGTCTTTTTGGCAAAACCACATAAGCACTAATTTCCAGTCACTATAAAAATATCATTAGTCATAATGCTATTCAGCCCAATCACCTCCTCCTTGGGCATTACAATGGGAAAATGATGAGTCTCCAGTTAGCACTGTTGGTGCGACCAAAGATTCCTCCACAGGGCCACAGGGGATTTCTAGATACTGTCCACACATGACTTAGGAGGCCAAAGGACACTAGAAAACTGTACCCAGACTTTCTGTCAACCACAACACCTTGCCACTTTTACTCGGATGATACTGCCCCATGCTGGTGCTGTGGGGGAGAGAAAAGGAGCAAAAACCATTTTCCTCTAGACTTTGCTCTCAATCTATACCCACCATGCAAGAATGTGATTCTCTGCCAGGATAGGGAAGGAAGAGACCAGTAAACACCCTCCTACTTTGCTACTCCTACTTATGCCATGATTTACTTTCCACCATCCTTCTAGTGGCTGAAAGTGATGTTTCTCTGTCTTCTCCCACCTGGTCAAGACCCCCTCTGATGGATATCTTTATTCTTCCAGGAGAGAACAATCATAGAAGATGGGGTACAGGGAGAGAGCAGCTGGCAGAAAGGGAGCAACAATGTTATTATACTTGTTAACATCTGCAAGGTGAGTGAAACACAGACATCCCCTTTAGGGGTTAACATTTGGAAGGTGAACGTGGGCAGAGATTCTAAAAATTACCATAACAAAAAGAAAAATGATTAAGAGCCATAAATCAGTAGAGGTGAGGGCTGAAAGCTGTGGCAGTTCTGAGGGGGCAAATTTATTGCCCCCTGGGTGAATCAGAAACAGAGGATTTAAGCTGGCTCAAGTCGGTAAGGTAGAAAAATCACAGATCCAGACTCAGCAAGGAGATCAGTTTAATGGCAACACAGGAGCCTGGTGGAGAATGGAGGCAATGCTGTTGAAATGGCAGGTCTGAAGGTCAGTCTGAAGAGTTTAGGCTTTTACCACGTAGGCAACAAGAAGCTCCTTACAGATCTTGATTAGAGTAGTGACAAGAGCCATGCTCTTCATCCAGCAGCTGTACATCAAATATGTAGGAAAGAAGGAACTGGAGCTATAGGAAGCCACCAAATACCACAGCCAGAAATCATTGCTTCGTATTGTATACTAAGGCCAAGACATCCAGAAATGTATTTTTATTCTAAATTATCAGATCAATTCATTTATTACCTCTGTTACTTCAATCCTTTGCCAGTGTAAATGTATATGATGAATTTGATGTTCTACAGCGCCTTTGGCAGATATCTTAATACTTGTATTCTAATAATAAAAGATACACTTTTCCTATCAGTTGTTACAGTGACATATGTATCACCATACTTAGATCCAAATATATCATGAGCTTCATTTCTAAATAACACACGATATGCAACTTTTGCCTCTCAATAACTTTTATTATGTCTTAAGCTTGGTTAACCAAAAAGTGACTGAGGCAGCTCTCAATAAATAGAGGTTTATTTAGCCAAGGTCGAGGACATGCCCAGAATGAAAGGCAAGTTACAAGAGCATCTGTGACCTGTGCTTTTTCAAAACAATGGGAGTTTTGGGAACTTCAGTATTTAAAGAAGAAAGAGCAAGCAAGAGAGGGAAATAAAAGAAGGGAAGGTAGGCAGTGAGGCAAATAGTTGCATTCTGGTGAGGCTCTGATTAACCTCAGTAAATCTACACTTTACGTGTGAAAAGTGAAAGTAGAAGAAAAAGTCAATTATGCATTCATCTCAGTGTAGGTGGAGGGATGATTTCTGGTCTTGTCCTTGTCCTCTCTCTGTGAACATAAGCTGGTAATTGACACTGTCAGGGTGAGATTTCAACAGAACTTGGTTTTAGGGCTAGTTTATAGGGAGGGATATGCATCCTGAAAGATTTAGGGGTTCACAAGGAATTTCCTTGTGACCAATCGGTGAAGGAGGCCTTCTGGGGAGATATGTGACTTTCTATCATGATGGGTACCTGGATTATGGATGAGGTCATGATATAGGGTTGTAAAATTGCAGCTCTCTGTTTGGGAACAAAAGAAAAACAGCATCGGGAGACTCAATTCCCAGGTTTAACTTTCCCTTTGGCATAGTAACTTTGGGGTCCCAAGATTCTATTTTCTTTCACAGTTTAAATATTAAGATATAGGAACATCCTTATACATGTAATCTATTTAATTTTTAATACATTTTCATTAAAATATGTCTACTTGGATGGAAAGATAGAAAGTAAATGTTTGTTCAAATGGCAATATATAATTAGGTATCACTGTTGGACTAAAGACTGCCATTTTAAAATGATGCCCTAGAGAACATATTTAAAATGTAGGTGAAAAGAGTAAAGCTAGGGAAATATTTGTATAATTAACTTAAGACATTATAAAAATTATTGGACGTTTATAGTTGTTTGTATTCATTCCAGCAGAGCTATAGCAATACCAAATTATTAAAGACATTTCATGGTTCCTATGAAGATGGAATGCCAAGTGCTTTTTTTTTCTCTTTCTCCTGAAGGATTTCATGATTTGATTGCCCAAGTGATATTTATATTGTCACATACTTTTGTGAAATGCTTTATGTTAATTACAGTTTTCACATTTTGCATGGTGACAAAATTGTCATATTATCTGATGATTGAAATCTTTTTAACTAAAAAGTGACTTGTGTAAAGAGGTCTTAAAAGTAGATATTTCTTCCAAAAACCTTTATTTTAACTAAGTAAAAAATGACTTTTTGGAAAGAGTTTTCTTTTCTTTATTTTTTATATTTATTTATTTATTTATTTTTGCTAGAAGGAGAAGTACCATAAGCTATAAAAATGCCATGGGTGTTCAAATGTAAGAAAAAAAAAATACTATGTTCCAGATAAAAGCTTAGTGAAGTGGAATGATATTCATGGTCAGTAAAATTGGATAATGAGAATGATTGACAAATATGTAGTTCTCAATAGATTACAAAGTATTTTCAAGATTATCTTAAGAAAAATATTCACGCCCTTGTTCCTGCTCCCACTATGTGAGATGCCTCGTTCCCTCTTTGCCTTCCGCCATGATTGTAAGTTTCCTGAAGCCTTCTCAAAAGCAGAAGCTGCCGTGCTTCCTGTATAGCCTGCAGAACCATGAGCTACTTAAACCTCTTTTCTTCATAAATTTAAAAAAAAACTACATCAAATATTTCCATATATAAATTTGCCTCAAAATTCAAACACTAAAAACACGTAATTTTACATAAATATTGTTGATATAAAGATGTTTTGTAATTATTAACATTGAAGGCTTACTTTCCCTGCTCATAAAGAAAGCAGAGCACATCGTTTGTCCTGTCACAATGGCTCACTCCATCTTTTAGTACTTAATGTCTAACTGTACCTAAAGACCTGCCACAATGGAAAATACAGAAGGACTCAGCGTTACAGAGGCTACAGTATCTTCTGCATGCTCTGAGGCCAACTAACATAATTCCATATTAAGTCAAACATAATATTTATTTATTCTTTTACAGATTGTGTTTTTGCTCTGTTGCCCAGGTTGGAGTACAGTGGCGCAATTGTAGTTCACTAAAATCTCTAACTCCTGGGTTGAAGCAATCCTCCCACCTCAGCCTTCTAATTAGCTGGGACTTAAAGGCACATGCCACCACACCTGGCTACTTAAAAAATTTTTTTCTTCGAGACAGAGTCTTACTATGTTATGCAGGCTGGTTTCAAGTTCTTGGGCTCAAGTGATCCTCCTGCCTGAGGCTCCCAAAGTACTGGGATTATAGGAATGGGCCACCATGGCTGACCTAATAACATTTAAAATAAATATATTATTCCAAAAAAGGTGTGAAAATGAGATTTGTGAGATAAAATTAGGTAGCAATATTTATTTCAGGGAAATATTGCTACACAGTCCCTCTAAATGATGTGCTTCTTATTGTATTCTAGCATCAATCTTGTATTTTCTTCATTCTTTCTGTTTTTGACTACCATGTGTTGAGTGCTTAATCATGTTTCAAGCCCTGTGCTAATCACTTTACACACACTCTCACACACTTTTAACAATGGCATCTGAAATAGATACCAGTATCCCTATTGTACAGGTAAGAAAACTGAGACTTAGAGATTAAGCAATTTGCAGAATATCAAAGAGTTGGAAGAATCAGAGCCGGGCTCAAAGTCCAGTTCTATGACTCTAACACAAAGCTTCTAGGAAACGATGCAAATGCCAAGCTAGGGTAATATATGGGACATGGGTTTTGGAGGCAGCCAGTCCTGCATTCAATATGCTCCTTTGCTCTTCATAATCTGTGCAACTTTAGACATCTTGCTTAGCTTTTCTAGCCCTGTGTGACTTCATCTATAATATGGGGGAAGTAACGTAGTACGTGCACCATATGATTGCTGGAAAAATTAAATAAAGTAATGTAAAAAGTTCTAAGATGATAAGGTTGTAATCATTTGCATTGTATCATTGGGTATTATAAAATTCATCAAAGAATAACACATATTTCCCTTTAAAATTTGTGAATCCCCACTTTCTCTCTTACCCTCTCATCCTTTGCATTCTAATTCTTAGCCTATTACTACTATCAGCAGGTAATTTTGAGTTCAGTTTACTTGATGTTCATATGCAAGTTTGTGTCTAAAATGTCAGAGGCCAGAGGACAATTTTTTGACCTATGAAGGCTTCAATAAACACTCTCCCCAAGAGCACGTCAAGCTGATACTTATCCCCCTACCTGCAAGCATACTAACCACACTTCACCACAGTATTTGCTATAGGCAAATCAATGTAGATACATATCCTACAAAGATTGTTCCAATGTTACTCACAGTCCATGGAGACGATTAGGTTCAAACCAGCCTCCACCACAGACTGTGGACTGAAGACACATGAGTGTCATTTTTCTGAACCCACCAAGCACCTGAGATCCTTTCTCGTGGAATACACCCTACCAAAAGATGCTGGTCTTATGTCTATGGTTCTGAGTCATGCTAGAGGTCATTGCATTATTTATGCTTCTGCTGCTTCAACGCCCAAACCCAGATGCAGAAAGATGGGCAGCCTACATTAGAGAGGCCACCATACACACCACTTATTGTTTTTACTTTAACTTCTGGAATTGTTTTCCTGAAATAATTCATAATTAATGCATTTTTTTAGTCAAATGGGTTAATGTGGTGGCTACATTAATCTACTTAACTTTAAACAGTGTGATCATCCCTAGAGCCTAGAATACCAATAACTAGATTTATTGTGCTCTTAAACAAGTCATTTTCTCTAGATTTTTTTCACAATCTGGTAAAAATCTCTTAATTCAGTGGAGTTCAGCAGAAATTCCAGCATCTTTAATTTCGTAGTCAATTGGTCATGGTTGGCAAGTAGATATGTTTGTTTTCCACTTTATTCACATTAGAAATCAGATTAGGATAAGCATTAGTATCACAGATTCCCAGAATGAGGTAATTCACCATCCTGTAATAATTCAGGGCAGTAGGGGAGGAAAGCTCAAAGAGGATTATTCAAAATCTGCTTGCTTCTGATCAACCTAATGAGGATCACAGAAATCATTGATGAGACCCACACATGGACTTGAACTAGGGCTAGAAAGAAATAGATGTGATAACATGGAAAGATTTACCTAGTAAAAATCATCTTACAGAGAAATAAAGTCCAGGAGGTATCAACAAGGAACTGTAGGACACAGAAAATGGTAAGAAACAGCAGGGTCAGCATAATGGGACCACTTCCTTTCCAAGAAAAAAACTGAGGTAGCATACGGTAGTCATGTCTCAGCAAACTCCCCATCTACTCCCTAGAATTTACATTGTACTGATTGCTTTATTGATCACCCACTACGATGCTTTGCATAAGTGATGATCTCAATTATGGTTGGTAAAAATCTTTGAACACTAAAGTAACATAAAATCCCAAAGACATTATAAAACCACTTTGTTTTCAACTTGAAAAACTAGTACTATCAATATAACTTCCCACTGAGTTCAAAACATTTCTACATGCTTAATATATTCTGTTATGTTTAGAGTAGAGAAAATTGAAGCTAAGCCCTTCGTTTAGCAATAACCATTTTAATGTCTGTTTATCACAGTAGGTAAATAATGCAGAGCTCCCAAATTTAGTCATAATAAGCAATCATTTTTCAATAAAAATGGGTAATTTTCCCATTTCAGCTTCGTCTAAGTGCCTACCGAATTAAAGTGTTGACTTAAAATACATTTCAAATGTTAGTCTTATTATGATAATTACCAAGGATCATATCTTAAGAAGTTATTCTTAAAGATCACCAATTTTCCTTATAGTTATGGCCATTTCATCTGAATCTGTAATATTCAATACTAGGGTCTTTTTCTTTGGCTTTCAGGATTAATAAAAAATTATTTCAAAAGTTAAAAATGAGAAAAGGTAATGTATGACCATAATTTAATCAACTATATACATTCTAAAAAAATTATAGTGTTAGTCATAAGCTGGAGGGGTATTTCCTCACCACTCTTACGTTTCTGTCCATTAGTGCAAACTCCATGATTAGACCATTGCTGCCTACCTATCTCCGCCCTCTCATTCACTTCTCTGCAGGAGATAAGAATAGACTTAACCTGAGTGGTAAGTTCAAAAGAAGAACCTGGACCTATGTAGCTCAGCCATTCCTCACTATGTCTAAATAGCTAACATCCATGCCTGCATCATGTCCTTAGTTTTACAGAGACATCCTTCTATATGATGAGGCTGTGATTATTAGCCCTGCCTGGGGCTTGCTAATTAAGACTGTCACCAACCTGGTCAACATAGCAAGACCCTATTTCTACAAAAAAGAGAAAAAAATTGAAACAAAAAATTACCTGGTCATGGTGGAGCATGCTTATAGTTTCAGCTACTTGGGAACCTGAGACAGGAGGATTACTTGAGGCCAGGAGTTAGAGGCTGCAGTGAGTTATAATTGTGCCACTGCACTCCAGCACTCCAGCATGGGTGACAGAATGAGACCCTGTCTCAAAGAAAAAGAAAAAAAAAAAAAAGACTCCCTAATTTGGTTTTAGGAATTTCACTTTCCCTCAGATATAATCTCCAGTATTATCAACTTTAGAAGTAATCAAGGTATTATGTTGGCTTTAAGTTGCTTTACTTATTGTATTATTTCTCAATTGACACTTATTTATTTGGCCTGCATCAACATTAAGCAATGTTGAGTCAGTTGCTTATTCCTTCAGCATTATCCTTTGGTCTGCAAAGTTGTAGGTGGGGGCTTGTATTTTATTTTCATAGCCTTGGTGAATGCATGCATATGAAGATAACCAGTAAAGCTTAGGAAACAGAATGGAGGGCAAAACATCGTGTACACAGTGTCTATATTTGGAGCATCCACTATGTACTAATAAGATTCTGGATGCTGGGAATAGAGTAGTGAATAAACCCTGCTTTTATGGGGTCTATTTTCTATTGGGGAAAGCAAACAATAAACTAATCATTGATTGTGAATACTGTAAATGCATATATTACATCTACCCAGGCAAGTAGCTGATAGTGATAGGAAAACACTTAATAAAAATGTTTTACAAAGGATGAGGTAGTCCTTTTTGTAGGATGTTTACAGAACGCCTCTCAAAGAAAATTAAAGTTCATCTGGACCTTAAAATGTGATGGTGGTAATCATGAGGGATCCAGTAAGAAAATGACTCAAATAGAGGAAATAGAGAGTTCAGAGGTCCAGAGAGGACACAGTTACCAAATCCAAAGGGCAGAAAGACAGCCAGAGTGACCAGAAGGTAGTAAAAGAAACCTCGAAGCTGGAGACAATGAGCCCACTGAAGTAGGCAGGACCTAGATAGTGTAAGATGACCTTGTAGCCTGTGACTAAACAAACAAAAAAGACTCTATTGAAAAAGCAGTAAGAAAAACATATTGGAATATTCAAAGTTAGGAATGAATGCGATCTGAATCAATCAAGTTTTTAAATTGTCTTTAGCTGTTTTGACTTAAAGGATTGCAGAGAAAGTAGATAAGGCTCAATTGTAGTGGTTCAGACATGAAATAATTGTTTGTTTAGAGCTGTCCTTATAGAGAAGGAATGGTCAGATTTGAGAAGTCCAGGGAGCTAGAGCCAACAGGACTTATTTACAAATGGCATATAGAAAGTGAGTAGGGTAACAATTCTAGGGATTAAGAATAACTCCTAGGTTTTTATCCTGATCACCTGAGTCATCAGGGGTACACTTTCCAGAAATGGGGAAGATTTTTGGAGGAGCAAGTTGTGCTTTATCTTCTACAAATGGTCTGTTTGTTTCCATAAGTTGGTAGTGTCTTTTAGACAACCAAGTTTAGATATCAAATAAGGAGCTTGATATATATGTGTATAGATAGCAGGGAAAAAGTCAGGGCTGGAGATTTTATTTCCTGTTTTTTGCTGCCATGAGTTAGAGAATAGCTGGAAACTAATGAGATTAATTATATAAAACATTGCTGCGCATGGACATATATTATTTGTTCAGCATTATCCTAAGCACTAAACAACTCCCATCTAATTTAATCATCTCAATACCACTGTATTATAGATGGAGTAACTGAGACTTAAAGAGAGTAATAATTTGCCCAAAGGCACACGGTACGTGATAAACTAGACTTTGAATTAATGTCTGTGTGATTCTAAAGTCCATGCTTACTGGGCTAAAAATCAAGGGTGTAGAAGGCACCTTGAATATCCAGCCTCTTAGAACAAGAGACTGGGCTTCATTTGTTACCTTAATTAGCTGTGTGACTTTTGTATACCCTGTATAATCAACAAGAAAATCTGTGGAATTCAAAGGACCTGTGTGCTTGATTTCAAAGCCGCAAAGAAAGGAATAGTTTGTAATTTGAATAGTCAAGTTCTGGAGGAGAAGGACCCCTCAAAATAATAGACAGATAATTATCAAGGGCTTCAAACGTAGTGTTAATAGCTTTCATCAGATTATCATGGGAGTTTGGCCATCAATCCCAGTGTATTCAAAGCAAAGTTATTTCATGCCTATTATCCTAGGTTAATTATTAATAATGCCCCACTTTAACTCTCAAGAGGATTTCATTTTTGATAAATTATATGGTCACTCAATATTTAGAAGTCTTAGACCCAAAAGGTTATAAATACCCGGTAGATACAAATACTCACAAATCCTACATGTTTCCTCTTTTAAAGAGGAGAAACCAAGGCCCCTGAGGTAACAAGAGCACAACTATCACACAGGGGTCCTTCTGCTTACTCCTCATTTCCATCTCTTGGAGTTCAACCCATGCCTCGAAGCTCAGTTTTGAATTTGTTCATTCATTTATTCACTAAACTTTCTCACATTGGTGTATGTATACCACCTACATAATGAAAGAAATCATAGGGATAGAAAATACCTCTGTTGGAAAATCATTTGCTTATTTCTCCTACCTGCAATGAATAGACATGCATATGTATCAAAACAGGCAATTTCAGACCTACATACCCAGCATCTACACACAAATACATGCACACACAGGCACACAAACAGACTTACATACGCCAGTCTTAATACTCAATAGTTTCTGAAGACTCTAAGTTTGCTATCTCATAATGTTTTTAATTGGCTGTCAACAGTTTAGCAATAATTTCTCAGACTAATGAAAAAAATATCCATGAAGATGGCTGTTCCTTGTGATTTCAGGTTCTATGTTGAGTCTCTCATTTATGACACTGGTTGGATGGGTGAAAAATGTTGCTCTTCATAAGAGTATATTTGTTACCAAAAGGGGAAAAGAATAAGTTGTTTTCCAAATCAAAAAAGATTTATTACATGTTATTGTTCACTCTATATTCAGTAATATTCTAAACATTATAAGAAACTCAAAATAGTAGTCAAAGATGGTGTTCATATAATTTTTAACTTTAAGAAGTGTCAATCAGTCTTCCAAGTATTTATATGCAGTCAAATGCCCTGAAATTAAAAACATATGTTCCATTCAATGAAAATTTAATGTTTAGAGCTTATAAATAGAAACAGGCTTGAACCGAGCCTTATGGAGGACTAGCAAGGGATAAGAATCTCAACATTTCATAATTTACAATAACCAGAAGTGGAAAAGTCAGTGACTGAAGTAAGCCTTGGAATTAAGCAGCCAGAATGAACTCACTAGGTTAGAAACTTTAACAAAATCTGAAGTTAGTATATTTTTTTCATTACTTATCTCTGGTCCCATAGAAGAGACAATCAGAAGACATAATCCTAGCTTAATAAGGGTTTAACAAAAGTAGCTTTTCAAAGTTAATTAGCCTACTAATCATAAAAAGAGAAATGAATAGGGGGGCAGCCTCTCTAACTTTGAAAACATTCTGAAGAACCACTAGCCTTTAGTCTCATTATTCTATTTAACATGGCTATCACTTTTATCTCAGAAGATACTAATATTAAAATGTTGGACGATATTCTTATTCATAAATTTTTTTTTCTTTAGATAATCTAACCTTCATGAAGATCCCATCTGTCATGTTTCCACTAAATGAAGTTGGCAAGTTTGTTGTTTAAAAAATCCTTAAAAATAATTATATGTCCAATATTCAATAGAAATATTTATGATAAGAATGCAATCATCTTACTGAGGCTATCACAATATTTATTCTTTTCTCATTAATGTTGGAAAGTATATGGAATAAAAGACACTTTCCCAGTAGAGCTTAAGAGGGCAGCTGAGAAAACAGAGTTGGAAAGAGATGTTAGAAAATTTGGCCAGAAATGTAAAATAGTGACTAAGTGTAGGAAAAAATTCAATAATCATTTCCTATGACTTTCCATATGTTGTATGATAAAATAACATGTTTTATGTGATTTACCAAATATCTTTAAGAAATACTGACATAGCAAAGAGTATAAGGGACATCTTCTTCCACATATGCTATAATTTTATTTCATATATTTCCTCTCAAAGTCTTAATACACAAGTGATCCAGTGTGACCTCAATACAAATAAATCATATAGGAGCTGGTACAGACATGATGTACATGCACACCTGCAAACTCATCCACTCAAGAAAGATCCATTAAACTTCTACCATTTGTCAGGAATGTACTAGGTGCTGAGGTGCAATGTCTGGGTGACACTCATATGGAAGTGTTAACTAGGCAGATTGGATATGCTAGTCTGGAGCTGAAAAGGAACTGGGGCTGCCGATATAAATTAGGTAGTCATCAGCATACAGATGGTATTTTTAAAAATAAAAATGAATAAGGTCACTTGGGGGGATAGAGATGAAGACTGGGTTCAAGAGAGAACTAAGGAATGCCAATATTTAGGGGTTGAGTATCTAAGAGAAACAGCTTAAAAAGCTTGAAATTAAAAAAAAAAAAAAATAGAAGAGGATGGCCTTATAGAAGGCAGAAGAAGAGAAAATTTCAAGAAAAAGGGAGTGGTCAGTTCTATTCAATGTTATTGAGAGATCCAGTAAAAAGAAGACCAAGCAGTGTCCATTGGACTTAATATAGAGGTTGTTAGTGACTTTGACGAAACCAGTTTTGGTGGCACGGTGGGAGCACAAGACAAGACCATACACACACACAGACAGACAGACCGACAGACAGACAGACACAGACACACAGACAGACCGACAGACAGACAGACACACACACACACACACACACACACACACACACACAATTATAATGTCCTCTGGTTCATAAACACTATATCCAGGATATTCCATTGTTTGGAAAGCCTAGTATTTATTTGTCCATTGTTTAATTTAATAACTCCGAAGTGCCTTAATTCAAAAGGGACCTCTGGCTGTGAGAAGTAGCAGTTTATGCCAGCAACTCTTATTTTTCCACAGTGTCCTGACCCCATGGATTTAAAATAAAGCTATCTAAATGTAAATAATTTATTTCTTATATTGCTAAAGATATTCCATGATAATTGACTAGATATAAGACTATGAAACTTAGCATGCTTCTTAGCATCACCAGTGAAACCCCAGATGCAGTGTAGGCAAATGTAGTCACAGCTACTTGAGAGACTGAGGCATGAGGATCACTTGAGCCCAAGAGTTCAAGTCCAGCCTGGAAACATAGGAAGCCCCCTGTCTCCCCAAAAATATAGATTAAATTAAATTAAACCACCAGTGAAGCCTGAATGATTCAGTCTCACATGTGGATAATTTCAGAATTACTCTAAGGACAAAGTTATCTTTTGTATACATTATTAGATTTTTTTTTCCTGTAATTGAAATAGTTTAAAAATTTTAATTCTGGATTTATTAAAAGCAATTGCTGATTTAGCCATAAAATACATCCTAAAATGTTAAAGGAGTGTATCTAGGTTAAATGAATTCTTAATTCCTCAAGTATGCCCGATGGAATACCTTGTCTCCACTCCTCCACATACATGTTACATATTCATCGCATGGATCGTAAGACAACTCAACCAGGAGAATCAAGATTTATGCTTATAACTATATTATAGTTATAATTCATGCATGAACAACAGTGACCTCATGTGGCTAATGCTTTATGCCTGAAACTATTAAACTAAGAACAACAAAAAAATGTCTATGCTATACATCAAGACATGTCAGAGTAAATGATTGGAGCTGCCTGTGCCACACAACATACTTTCTTTTTTAAGGTGACTGCTCAAATCTGTGTATGTTTGTAAGGTTAGATTGGTCAAAGGTTAACATTATGGAATAAGATATCTGAGGGCCAAGTATCAAATCTTACCTCCTTGTATTACCCAAAGCATTCAGTGCTACTCTTTGCTCATTGAAGAAACTCTCCAAGTGCTTTTTGAATTCTGTCTCATCTTCCCTGCCCAAGTTAAAAAATAAATGCCTAAATGGAAATGTAAGAACAGATTACAGTGGTGCTTCATTATCCACCTGTTTCTGACTTCAGGATTTGGCTGTTTTTCTCTTCAGTCTGAATAGTTCCCTTAACCAGTCTGAGCTGTAACATTCTGGACTTTCGCACAAGCATTTGTTTAAAACTATTTTACTACATCATTAGCTAGAATAACAACAGTTTTAAACACACATTCAAGCCTCTATATTTGTAGGTTCCACATCTGTGGATTCAACCAACCACAGATCAAGAAATATTCAGAAAAAAGGATGGTTATGTCTGGACTGAACATGTACAGACTTTTTTCCTTGTAATTATTCTCTAAGTAACCCAGTATAACAGCTATTTGCATAGCATTTACATCCTATTAGGCATTTGGAATAATCTAGAGATGACTTAAAGAATATGAGAGGATGTGCATAGATTATATGTAAATATTACACCATTTTATATGACGGACTTGAGCATCTCTGAATTTGGGTAACTGTGGGAGAAGGAGGGTCCTGGAACCAGTCCCCCACAGATACGGAGGGACTACTGTGTTACAGAGTATTGAAAATAAAATAACTTCCAGCTCTCTTTTCTTTAAAATCAAGGGTGGTGTCCTTTATCATTAATTTCAAAGCAGTGCTGCAGTTAGATCACAGGTAAGGACCTAACTTCACTAGTAAGACCTTAGCTAGAGAATGAACAATTAAGGATAAATAGGTTACCTCGGATCTTCGAGGTAACATGATATTTAGTAGATGACAACTGCTGCTTGCAGTCTTCTGTCAGAATTATGCTGTAAACTCTAGCTCAGCAGTAAAAAACATGATTCTGGAGTCAGAAAACCTAGTTTGTAATCCTGACTTCAACATTTATCTGTCCTTGGTTTAGTCACTGTCTTCTCTTAGAGAACCCATCTTCGAAATGGGAGAGGGTAACAGAATCTAGCTCATGGAGGTATCATGAGGATTAAATAAGAAAATACTATGTAAACCATTTCACAAGTTTGTGCCACATAGTAAGAGCTTAGTGTTCCAAGCTTAATGATTTTTAATGAATCTGTTATTCTTTATTTTTACTTCTCATCTATATTTCTGCTTTCTTAATTTTAATTAAGACATATGTATAGTTCATTATTTTCTCCATCTTTTCTTCTACTAAAAAGAAAGCTAACACTTTATCAGTTTCTTTACTGTTTTCCTTTGTTCTCTCCCTAGTCCAGGGAAGCACCAGTTAAGTAGTATAGGTGATCCTTGCAAATATATTATACATACCTACTTGTTCTGTGGGAAATGTGTTTTGAAAATATCAGCAATGACGAAATTCCCTAGTCCAAAATCCCAGTTATTTAGAAAAGCTTCTTGTCATAATTAGGTACAAGTTTGATATCGTATTTATTTGCTACATACATAGAGGATTACATAGCAAAACAAACAAACAATCTGTGAGGCATAATACTTAATGCCCTTATCTAATTCTTTTCTTGATACTTAAAATATAAGAAATAATAAAATCCAAATATGTAAAGTACTCTAAAATAAAAAGACATAACAATAAAAATATACCTACATAAAATTTTGAACATTTTATTTCTATGCCTGATAGAAAGTTTAAGTTTAGTTCACTATTTTAAGAATCACAGAATAATTTTTATTCATGTATTCAACAAATGTGTATTAACTTCTTATATGCTAGGTACTGGTTTTGGCACAATAATTCTATAGTAAACAGAATACACAAAATCTGTTCTTTTATAGATTTTACATTCTAGAAGTGAGAAACAAAAAACAAATAAGAAATAAGAAACAAAGGAAGGAGGAAAATAAATAAATGTACGTAAGTGGCAATAAACATTAGCAAGAGAAATAAATTAGGATAAGGAAGATAAAAAGTGATGGAGTGTTATTTTACATAAGGGGCTGGGAAAGGCAGGTCTTATAAATGAACATTTAAAAAGGCTTCAAAAGTTTTAAGGGAAAACATTTCAGACAGAGCTGCAGCAGCTGTAAAGAGCCTTCAGTGGAAGCGGACTTGCCGTGTGCAAAAAATTCCACAGCTAGAGCAGAGTGAATGAGGAGGGGAGTGTTTGGAGATGAGCTCAGAGAAACAGTAAGACACCAAGTCACGTAAGGCCTGATCCAAATACAAAAAAAACCATTTAAGAATTGATCTGAAAAGGAACATGATCTGGCTCATATTGTAAAAGGCTCACTCTGGCTTTGGCATGCGTAATGGACTGCAAAGGGAAAGAAAGAGATGCGATCAATTAGGAAGTTTTACAACAATCCAGACAAGAAGTGATGGTGATTTGGCCAGGATGTTAATGGTCAATGTGGGGAAACAGATTCATATATCAGATAGGATTCAAAGTAAGAATTGAAATAAATTTGTAATGGATTAGATGTGGAATGTGAAAGAAAAGAGGGTTCAAGGATAACTCAAAGATTTTTCAGCAACTGGAAAAAAAAGATGCTTTTTGTGCAGATGGGATAGACTTACGGAAAAGGAGAGGTTTTTTCCCCCCGAGAAGGTGGAAACAGAGAGGAAAGGAATTAAGAGTTGTGTTTTGAATATTTAGAATTTGAGGTGTCTTTTAAATATTCAGATGGAAATATTGAATAGGCAATTGGATGTTTAAGGTTGAAATTTAGGGGAGAATTGCCAAAAAAATTTTTTTTTAATGTGTGAATTAACAGATTAGTGATGATGTTTAAATTCTTGCATTTGGAGATCATCTGGGAATAAAGAAGAGATAGAAAAGAGTTTTGAGAGAAGAGCCCTGGTCTTTGCAATGATTAGAGGTCAGGTATATGAGGAGGAGTAGACAAATGAGAGTGGTAAGGAATGAACAGTAACTAGGAGACTAGGGAAGAGTTTCACAGACAACAAGTGAAAAATGTTTTCAAGAAGGGAAGTGATTGTTAGATAATGTGGATAGGTTGACTAAAATGAGTACAAATAAGAGGACATGGACTCAGGACTCACCTCCTATGGAGAATCAGGGGGCTGCCACACCAAAGAAGTTTTTAGGAGTTCAGTAGTCTGGGAGATTCTGAGATGTCACTTTCAAAGGAAAAAAAAATTATGCCATCTTGCATTTATCACCAATAAGAAGGAATCACAATGCCTGGTAGACCTCTTTGGGTTCTGGAAGCAGCATTTTCTTTATGTGGGAATTTTTTTCCTAGTCCTGTTACCAAATGACATTACAGGCTGCCAGCTGTGGATGGGTCCCAAACCAGGAAAGTTCTTGGTGGTAGATCCAGGCAAGAGTGTGAGCACCCTTGCAAATTGGTCCATATGACAGAAACAGCAGCATCTATGATTTTAGCTGCATCCATGATGGGAAAAGATGCCATATAAAAGTTATACAAAGTCCCAGCAAAAGAATTACAATGTAAATATCTAACAAGTATTCAGAAAGTGGTGTTTCCGAAGCAAGGCCATGTCATCTATAGAAAAGAATGATATACCGTGCAAAAAGAGTCCCTGGTTTTCTTCTGTACCCTAAGATGAACACTTAGCCATGGGACATCAAGTGTGTATGTTGCCAGAACTGCCCATCATGAGCTGGATATTGTCAGACCCACCAAATTGTAAGGTCAGGCTAGCCCAGCAGCCATACCTTGCAGAATGGAAATGCTGCATTTATGTTCAGCATGAATAGGGCCCAAAGGCACAAGTAAGTTGCATGAGTAGCTGGCCCAGAATCCCATGTCCCTACTATTGTCACACTGGCACCCACCTCTCTTGGCTAACTTCTATCACCACATGGGAGGTCTCTTAAGATCAAATGACAGAAAGAAGTGAGCCTTTTAAAGTATACATTCACATAATATAGGTCTGTATACTGAAAATTAACAACAGCTACAGTATAGCTCTACTCGGGGGAGGGCCAAAAAGACATCAGTGAAGGAAAATATTCCCAACAGGCACATATTTGGATGGTACACCTGGTCATTTCCTTTGCATAAATAAATAAATAAATAAATAAATTGCCCAAGATTAGAATATATGGACCAATGGCAATTTGAGGATAACTTGTCTGGAAGGAGAAAGATTTGGAAATGAGGGACAGACAGGTCAGAGGAAGGGACACATGGAGGGCTCTGGGAGTGGACCCAAAGTATTTTCTATAACATACTAAAGCCTTTCAGAGAGTGCCCACATGAGAATAAGCACTACCAAATGAATGTTAAAAAATGATTCAGCCAATTGACATCAACCAGCCTCTGTAATTAACCTCAGTGCTGGCACAACAGGCTTATGAAATGTGTGGCCGTGGTGGCAGGAATGAAGGCTATGAATGAGGCTTATGTCCTGTGCTTCCTTTCACCAAGGGTGATTTAGCTTTAGCTGCTGCCAAATGTCCAATTTACCAGCAATGGAAACCAGTGGTGAGCCCCCAGTATGAAACCATACTTTTGGGAAATCAACTAGTTACTTAGGGTTAACTTGATTACTTTGAACTCTTTCCTGTATTTAGGACCTCAGTTAGCACCAGTATTCCAGGTTTAGAGAGTGCATAAATAAATTTTTTTTTTTTTTTTTAAGTAGAGACAAGGTTTCACCATGTTGGCCAGGCTGGTCTCAAACTCCTGACCTTAGGTAATCCGCCTGCCTTAGCCTCCCAAAGGGCTGGGATTACAGGCATGAGCCACCATGCCTGGCCAAATAAAATTATATATATCATCATATCAATCCTATCAGACTAAAGAACACACTTTAGAGCAAATGGAGTGAAGTTGTGGATACCTGACTGGTCCTATCACATACTGTACCTCCAGTAAATTGTCAGCCTGACAGAGTGATGGAAAAGCCTCTGACGGCACAGCTGAGGTGCCAGCTTGGAGATTATACCCTGCAAGGATGGGGCATCATCCTTCAGGATGTAGTATGCACACCAAATCAACAACCATTTTATGGTCTGTGTCCCAGTATGTAGAACACTTGTGTCTGGGTCTGGAAACCAAGGGAAGGAAGTTGGATGGCTTTGTTTACTGTCAATCTCAATGAAGTACTTGGTGAATGTGTGCTCTTCTCACCTACAATTCTAGCCTTTGCAGGTTTAGATGTCCTAGTTCGGATGACCAGAGAACATAGAAAATATCCCATTAAATTCTAACCTGTTGCCACAACTTGGTCACCTTGGATTCCTTGTGCAGAGACTACCAGGAAGCAAGGAACTGAGGTACTGTTCTCACAGGTATAATTACTCTGTCGTTTAGGAGGAGGGAGGGTTTCTGCTATGCAGTAGAGGCAAGTAAGAAAATGTTTGTCATTTAAGTGATTCACTGTCATGCCTCTTAGAACTTCTCTGCCCAATTATGATAGAGAATGGACAAATACAGCAGCCGTGGCCTGATAAAGGCATGGTTATTAGAAATGAACACATCTGGAGAAGAGGATCTGGGCTACCCCTTGTATTAGTTTGTTCTCACGCTGCTATAGAGAAATACCAAGACTGGGTAATTTATAAAGGAAAGAGGTCTAATTGACACACAGTTCTGCATGGCTGGGGAGGCCTCAGGAAAATTACAATCATGGCAGATTGGGTGGCAGGAGAGAGAGTAAGTGCAAGCAGGGGAAATGCCAGAGGCTTATAAAATTATCAGATCTCATGAAAATTCACTATCACAAAAGCATGGGGGAAACCTTCTGTCCCATGACACGTGGGGAATATGGGGATTACAATTCAAGATAAGATTTGGGTTGGGGCTCAGCCAAACCATGTCACCCCTGTTAATGGAAAAACCAAACTTTGTAAAATATTTTAAAGAGGTTTATTCTAAGCCAGTGTGATGACCACAGCTCAGAAAAACAAGAGTCTGAAGGAGCCCTGAGAAAGTCTGCCCGAGGCAGTTGGATAAAAGTTTGGTTTTGTACATTTCAGGGAGGCAGGAATTACAGACGAAGACCTAGATCAATGCATGGATGAGGTATGTATTGGTTTGCCCTGAAAAGGCAAGATACCTTGAAGCAGGGGCCTACAGGTTATAGGTGGATTCAGAGATTCTTTAATTTGCTATTGGTTAAAGGAATAAGATTCTGTCTAAAACTTGGTGTCAGCAGAAAGGAATGTTTTAAGTCAAGATAAGGATGTTATGTAACAAGATTTGTGGCCTGCAGGCAAGATTTTAACCCTACCCTTGCCTGGCCTTACGACTTATTTATAATTTGGTAGCTTGTTGTCACAAATTTCCTGTTTTGTCAGTTTTATGATCTCTATTTTAACATTAATGATGATCAGTTGTTATGCCTAAACTCCAAAAGGTAGAGCATATAATGAGATGTGTCTGACCTCATTTCCCATCATGACTGGGAACTCAGTTTATAAGGTTTCTTTGTGGTCTACCTTGGCCAAGAGGGGGTCTATTTAGCCACTGGGAGGCTTAGAATTTTTTTGTTGTTGTTGTTTATACCACACTAGATAAGCCACCTAGATCAACAGAGATAATGGCAAGAGAATCAAGAATGGTTAACATAGGAGAGAAAATATAAATATCAGTGTAGTCTTAAGAATAACCACAGCAGTGGGGGCTAAAATTCATCCTACTGAAACTGCATTTGCAAAGATGCTGCCAGTGAGAGAAACTAAACAGCTGACTCCACCTTACTTCTAGCCTCACAGGCGGGCTGTGTTTGGCCATTCCTGGGTATAAGCCAAGCTAACCATGGGAGGAATTTAATTCATAGTTTAACTTTGAAGCAAGAACAATGATAATCCCTCCTTATCACTGATTCCATCCTTGTTAGAGGGCTGAAATTGCTTTTGTAACACTAATGAAAGGCCACAAGATTAGGATTATAGGAGGGCCTGGAAATCTGCCAAAGTGTAGGTGTAGTTTCTTTAATCCCTTACTGCTCAGGAGTCATGTGGCCAGAGGTCACAAGATTCGTGACTTCCCCAGTTGCTTCTATAGATAACATCACTATTATCGAAACTAAGATTCATCTTTTGAGATATTTTTCAGACTTCTGGTAACTGACTGACCCTACCTGAACTCATGACTCATGACTCAACCAGTTCAGTAGCCCCCCACCCAGTGGTGGACTCAGGGCAGGAAGACTGTTCTCCACACCCATGACTGCATCCCCAACCAATCAGCAGCACCCACCAAACTATCCTTGAAAAACCCTAACCTCTGAGCTTTTGGGAAGACTGATTTGAGTACTAACTACATCTACCAGGTGGCTGGCCTTGTGTTAATTAAACTCTTTCATTTCTGCAATACCATAGTCTCAGCGAATTTTTTTGTTTCCTGCGCAGTGGGCAGAAAGAACCTGTTGGGCAATTATGCCAGTAATCTACCTCTTGCAAATATCACAAGGAAAAGAGACAAACTAGAAACCTGAAGGTACTATTCCTACACGGAGTGACCTTATACAAAGTGGATCCCAGCAGCTCAAGGATGCTACCATATACTGCTCAGATCTCCCCTTCAGGACGCAGACCACCACCCCAACTACCAGGACTGTTGCCTTCTGATAGAACATCATTCACAGCTGAGTTCCTCCCACAAAATTGCTTTCAGATGAAAGGAGCTGCTTTGGCAAGGGTTATGTTCCCCTCCACAAGTCAGGCCTCATCTAATGACCGGACCATATAGGCTTACAAAGACCTAGCTCTTGCCTCAACTTGAGATGGTTTGGAACACCTCTGGGGGTGTATTCTAGATCTAAGGCTCCCTGTTTTATCAGCTGAAGCCTCTGGTTGTGCCTGCATCTCAGTCACATTCTCCTTCTGTCCAATCCTCCTTCCTTCACTCCTTTATAGGTGTTTTTGTGATGCATCCTCCCTGCTAACCCTCCCACACAGGAATCTCAATCTCAGAGGCCATTTCCTTGGGGACACGGCATTGGAGAGCAGTATTTTGTGGTATTTTCACAATTGCTTGATTTGTTAATGTAAAATTAACAGTAATCTTTAAGAAGTGGATTTTAAATACAAAAATATGGAGACATAACTGGCTAAACCAATTCCCAAAGTAATGCAAACAGACTCTTATAACAAAACATAGATTTTATTGTATTACTTTTGGTTTTGGTTTCTGTTGTAAAAGCAAAGAGCCACAAGGTAGCTTTGATTTCCACCAGCCAATTTCTTATGAAGTAGAGAGTTTCTTTTGAGATGTAATTCTTCTGTGTTTTTTTTTTCTAATTTAGATTTTACCCCCAAATGCTAGCTATATAAAATGATATTAGCACAATAGAAGCAAGGAGAAAAGAAAACAAACCAAACTTTTGTTTATTTCTAAATACCCTATAGGAAGTTGTAAAAAGATTCATGCATAACAATAGAATGTAAATTTAGGTAATGATTTGGATCTTCTCCAATTGCAGCCTCAGCCTTGAAAACAACAGATTTCCTCAGAAATTCATTGTAGCTCAAACATAAAATTCTTGTTACACCATCGCTAATTGACATTGCACAAGCATATGTAACGAGTTTTCCAATAAAGAAATAAATACCTTTTGTGAACAGGGAGAAAAAAAGGCCAATATGGGAGAATATTTTCGTTAAATGAATCAAGATAGGGATTTGGATGTTTTAAGTCTTTTCATTTATACTTGCATTTATATCACTGATCCGTAAAAATTCCAAATGAAAAAGTGGCAGCACTCTGTGACAGAGGCATACTAGAGTAATTATGGGGAAAAAAATCCAAAAACCCTGAGGTCCCCATATTTAATTAGTATAAAAGCATTAGCCTTGCAAATTCACATAGTTTCCTTTCTTCTTTTGTTTTTGACTATGGGGAAAATAATAACTAACATATAATATAGATACAGGATAAGTTCAAAAGCACCACTTCCTTAGCTTATGTGATTCACTCAAATTGTTCTTTTAAACAATTTCTTGAAAATCTCCTAGTTTCTAGAAAAGATTTCAGATGGCTTAAAGATACGAAAGCAAGAAAAATAAGAGGGAAGGTAAGTAGAAATAAATCTGAACAAAGAACAAAAACAAAATGAGAGATGAGAAGCTAAACTGAGGTCCATGATTAGGGTAGCACACAATAACATGCTAATACCAAGCACCAAGCAGTAAATTTACTAGAGGACTGTAAATTGGGCTGAAACTTACTAGCAGCCAGCAAATAAGAGTGAATGATGATAGGAATTAGACTGACAATCTTTACAATGAGTAAAGAACCCAGTAGATTAAAGTAAGCACAATGATCTTTGTTGTTGATATCTGAAAGATATATCTCCTGAATCGTTCCAAAGATGCCACTATATTAGTTTAAAAAATCTTTAATTACATTTTGTATGAAAATTGTTGAAGAAGCAAAAGTTTCCCAAGGCTGTTTCCATAATGTCCTTCCATTTAAGCCAGTGAAACAGGGTTGAAAAGCAAGTCAGCAAGTAAGATTTAAATAAAGTTTACCCCAGATACGTACAATCTACTATCATTGAAGACTGCCAAGTTCTGTTCAAAAAAATGTTTGGTGAATGCTTGTACTTTAGCTCAGTATTAGCTGCATCTAAAACAATAGTCTGCAATGAAGCAAATATCCTGTCCAATACTTTGAGCTGAGAATAAAAAGAACAAAGTGAGAAATAATTATTACCTATTTCTCATGTTTTCATGCAAAGGAGCTTCTATTAGAGCAATGGTTCCCAAACTTTCTTTCTTTCTTTCTTTTTTTTTTTTTGAGACAGGGTTTCGTTCTGTTGCCTAGGATGAAGTGCAGTGGCACTATCTCAGCTCAGCGCAGCCACAACCTCCTGGGCTGCAGTGATCCTCCTACCTTAGCCTGCTGAGTAGCTGAGACTACAGGCGTGTACAACCATATTCTGCTAATTTTTCTATGTTTTTGTAGAGATGGGGTTTTGTCATGTTTCCCAGGCTGGTCTCAAACTCCTGTGTTCAAGCCATCCTCCTTCTTTGACCTCTCAAGGTGTTGGGATTACAGGCATGAGCCACTGTGCCCAGACTCAAACTTTATCACAGGACATCTTTACACTTTTACATGTTTCTGAGGACAACAAAGAGCTTTTGTTTATATGAGTTATATCTACTGTATAAGGAGCTGAGAAATTTTAAAAATGTTTACCTATTTTGATGGTTAATATTGAATGTCAACTTGATTGGACTGATGGATGCAAAGTACTGTTCTTGGGTGTGTCTGTGAGGGTGTTGCCAAAAGAGAGTAACATTTGAGTCAGTGGACTGGGAGAGGCAGACCCCCCTCAATCTGGGTGGACACCAAGTAGTCAACTGCCCCATTGAGGTTAGGATAAAAGCAGGCAGAGTAATGCTGAAAGCCTTGACTGGCTAAGTCTCTGGCCTCCATCTTTCTCCCATGTTGGATGCTTCCTGCTCCCAAACATCGGACTCCATGTTCTTCAGCTTTTGGACTCTTGGACTTACACCAGTGATTTCCCAGGGGGCTCTCCAGCCTTCAGCCACAGACTGAAGGCTGCACTATTGGCTTCCCTACTTTTGAGGTTTGGGTCCTCGGCCTGGCTTCCTGGCTCCTCAGCTTGCAGACAGCCTAGTGTGGGATTTCATGTTGTAATCCTGTGAGCTGATTCTCCTAATAAACTGCCCCTCATATATACGTCTATCCTATTAGTTCTGTCCCTTTAGAGAGCCCTAATACACCTATTAATTCATTTAAAGTAAAAATAATATACTTATTACATGCTATCATAAATATCATTTATGAAAAATATTCTGATTATATGTTACTATAAATGATATCATTTTATGAAAAATAACTATGTTGTTCTTACAAAAATTAGCAAAATGAGATGCCCTATTGTAATTTCCACAAATCTCTTTCATGTTTGACTTAATAAAAGACAGCAGGATCTTCAAATGTTTCTCCTTCACTGGGATGTACTGTATTGTTTTGATTGAAGTACAGAATGAGGATCCAGACTCATACAGGTAAGTGGTCAGAAAAAAGAGGGCCTCGCAGAGCCCAAAAATGTTTCTGGGGAGGCTGCAGGGATCCTCCACCCACACCTTCAGAACAACTCTTTTAAAGTAACTCTTGTAGTCTGTGTATTTCCATTCATTCCCTTCCAGGGGAATCATAAATTTCCTAATAGATGACTTGAAGAAGAAAATGGACTGTTCTTCATGACACAAATGTTATGTGGCAAGAACCCTCAGGAGAGATTTGTGATTGACCAGTGCAACCTCTGAGTGGGTGAATAAGTCTGCCTAATTTTAGTGTACTATGATCCATTTTCACATTTTCTATTGAGAATTTTCTAATAAGAATTTATCAGGAAAAGACAAAAATTAAAATATTTATCTCCATCTGCCCAACTGCTGTGCCTATCTCTCAACTGGTTTTGAACACAAGAGGAGAAGATATGAACATTATTTATTGACCCCCCTTAATTGCCCGCAAATGGAAGGCCATATGCTGGGCCAACCAAAACCATATTGCTTTGAAAATACAATGTCAGATACAGCAAGGAATTAAAGATTTTCTCATGGAGATGTTGAGTAACATTTTAATTTTAAGTAATATGTATAAATATGTGTGTCAATTATCTCAATTATAAATAAATAAAAATTTTAAAAAACTATAAAGAAGGCATATGCCCAAATAATCTTGAATAGTCTAGATTTATAAACTTATAGAATTGCTAATGAAAGGAGCATCTGTTCTTAAAGTACATAATTTTTTCTACAAATATTTTGCACCTAGGTAGAGTATTAGCTCAGAATGAGAACTACAAAGGAACAAATCCATTAATCCAACTTTGTTTTATATTATGCTTGTTAAACACCAAACATTATTCTACTGACATACTAAAGATAAATAAAATGAAAATAAGTTGTTGAAAATACTGTGAAAAGGACCCCAGCAAAAATGCTTGCTATTTTGAGCCTTCAAGACATTCAAAATGAAATGCTAAGAAAAAATGTTTATGAGCCAGGTGTGATGGCTCAAGCCTGTCATCCCAGCAATTTGGGAACTCAAGGCAGGCAGATCCCCTGAGGTCAGGAGTTCAAGACCAGCCTGGACAAAATGGTGAAACCCCATCTCTACGAAAAAAAAAAAATTAGCTGGGCAGGGTGGTGCATACCTGTAATCCCAGCTACTCGGAAGGTGAGGCACAAGAATCACTTGAACCCAGGAAGGGGAGGTTTCAGTGAGCCAAGATCACGCCACTGGAGCAAGACTGTCTCAAAAAAAAAAAAAAAAAAAAAAGAGCGAGAGAGAAGAAAAAAAAGAAAAAAGTTTATGTACAATTGGTGTGTTTTTGAATACTGAGGAAACCACAAAACATTTATCTCTGTCAAAAGATGGCATTTTATTGACATGACTCAAAATTAATGATAAAATCACATTGAATTATCATCTAAACTTACTCTAAGTGCTAATTAATTCATATTAAAAATCAGCCCCTTTTCTCACTTAACACTATGTTACAGCTTGAGGTTTCTCAACTCATGTAAATATAATTTCTTACCTAAGAAGTGTGGTAGCAAAATACATTCAATTAGACCACAAGACTCTTTAAAAAAGGAATTGCGTCATGTAAGTAAATATGGAGATTTTCAAATTCAAGTCAGTGTTTTGAATATTTAACATATTTTCTGCTTGAATGAATAAATGAATGCTCCTTTAATGTATGCTTTCTTGTTATCTACGTCATTATTTACAGCTTTTTCTAAGAACCCTCTGCAGTTAACATACTTCCTAAATTATCATGAATAGTTCTAATCCCATTATCTTCACTATTAATCATAATTGTCAGTCAGATTTCCTTGCTTTTTGATTAGGACCAGCATTAAATTGAGGTAAGTGTGGCATACAATTCAGGTGCAAAATATAAGGGGATGCCAATAAATTTAGTAATCAATATAAATGCCATTTTAATGTAATATTTTAGAATACACAAAAATGCATGATGAGCAAAATATCGAAAATTTAAATTAAGATAGGCTGTTGCTTGTTTTACCATTCTGTCTTATTGTGCAACAAAAACAGTCATCTACCAAGTAACCAGTATTTCCCAGGTTCCTGTTACCAGGGTGGGCAATGGTGTGTAAATAGACTGGGCAAGAGGGAGCTCTATATGTAGTCATTATTTTTTGTTGTAAAGCTTCTATTTTAACACTTGGTTCACAATACAGAAGGATATTTTGATGAGAGTATCCGGGTGTTCAGGTTTGCTTTTCCCTCAGTCCAATAAGCCTCCTCTGTGCACTGATAGACATCACAACTAAATGCATTCTTTCCTCATAACAAGGAAAAATACATTTCCTTTCATTGTTTTGAAAGATTACTCTGGCTATTCCTGTGTTCCTTGAGAGCAAAATCACTTTCTCTCTCTCCCCTTCTCCCACAGCCCAACTTCTTTTAAGTTGTTTTTACTTACTTTCTCCTTTTCCTCATTTCACACTTACTCTTCAACTTACTCTTCACTTTCATACCCATTACTCCCTGAGAAAGCCATGTACTAATGTCCTGAGTAAGAATCATATTGCTAAATCCAGTGGGCTTTTCAGACTTCATTTTGTTCAGCATCATTCAAAGTTGTGGACCACTATATCCTTCCAGAAACAATGTTTGTGGCAGCTCCTGTGACACTGTATCCTCCTTGCTTCCTTTCTACTTTTCTGGTTGCATCTTGTGTCCTTTGCCGGTTCTTCCTTTTCTACTTACCATGAAATGTTGGCATTTGTGATGTCATACATCTGCTGACATTTCCATTCCATCATCATTATTTGACAATTTTATCTATGTCTGTAAATTCATAGGTTCCTGTATACTCATGACATTGGTATGTACAGATCTCAGACTCAGGTTCAATTGCTTCTTCTGTGTATCCATTTGCATATCTCAAAATCATTTCACTCTCAATTTGTCCAAGAATAAACACAACTTTCTCCCCATCTTTGATCCATTTCTACTTAGTAACACACATTATAAATTAAGGAGCCTTCCTTTACACATCCCTTTCTTCCCCTATCACCACAACTGTCTCTTCCAAATCCACATTTGTGCAACTCTGAGGCTGCCTTTCTAATCACATCTGAAACATCAAATCAATTCTAGACTACACAATAAGGCCGCCTAGTCTCCTTGATCCACTCTTGTTCCCCTTTATTCAGTATCTCACTAAAGCTGGAGCTCTTTAAAGAAAAATATATTTCCCTTCTTTGTTTTGAAAGATTATTCTGGCTGTCATGTGGAAGATGTACTAGAAGGAGAAGATATTGGAGGCAAGAAGACCAATTAAGAGAATTCTGCAATAATTAAAGCAAGATACGATAAAAGCCTAGGAAAACTAAAAGATACAGATTCCAGCTATTTTTAATAAATAGAAGTTATAGCACATGGAGACTGACTGTAAGACATTAAGGAAGAATGAATAAAGAAGCTCAGCCTTGGAAACTTAAGTATCTTGCATATAATCATACAATTTGAGAATTGTAGAGTCATCTTCTGAGCTCAGGTGTGACAGATTCCACAGAAGAGCACTTTTAACACTACTTGAATTTTTACACATAAGTATGTGACAGTTAGTTTCTCTTAAAAATCTCTTCTTCAATCCTACATCCTTTTTCTGTTGTGGATTATCTATCAATTTAACCTCTAAGTCAGAGAGAGTCTTCCTCCTAACAGCTGTTGAATCTTCACCCACTTCTTCCAGTTGCCAATATGTTAACTCAGTTGATCATTATTTTCCATGTACCTACAGTTTCTCTCCCTTATTTTATTTCCCATGTTGCTGTCAAAACATATTTGTTATTAACTCCACCAATTGAGATCCTTTAATGCCACAAACCTTTTAAAATTGCATGCTAGGATTTATAAAACTTTCCATAATATGAACTTCTTTGTCTCCCCTCATTTTCCTCCTAAAACTTTCCAGTACTCCAATCCTTTTCTTTTAGGTTCATACTTTTGCAATAGATATTTTGCTCTTCTTGCCTAAAATATCCTTGCTACCTAATCTTCTGATGGCAAACTTCCACTCACTATTCAAATCTCATTTCTGTGTACCTCCTTCAGGAAGTCTTTCTGAAAAATCCCCCTCTGAACTAAGTACTCCCTCCAAATGCCTCTGTAGCACCCTATAAAATATATTTTTAATAAGATACTGTCATTTTTGTCTGCCTTCTACATTAATTTGAGCACTTTGACATCAGAAACTAATATTATATAATGAGGAAATATATAGCCTGGTAATGAACAGAGTAGGTTCTGGATTCAGACACCCTGAATTTAAATCCCCACCCTGATATTTTTAGCTGTGCATTTCTTTTATTATCTGAAAAAAGCCTGGTAATAGTAGTATCTACCTCAAAAGCATTTTGTGGAGATTAATATAAATAAAATATATAAAATTAGTACAGTGTTCAGCATATAATTGTGTTCAATAAAGTTTTGTGGAATAAGTGAACATATATATATATACATATTTTATTCCTCATATAGACAAGCTATTCTGTAACTTCATAAACATTATGAAGATTTTGCATAAATATTTTATTTTATCTATTAAGGTTTTCAGAGACAGGATCTTGCTCTGTGACCCAGGCTGGAGTGCAGTGACGCGATCATAGCTCACTGCAACCTTGAACTCCTAGGCTCAAGGATCCTACCATCTCAGCCTCCCAAGTAGCTGGGACTACAGGTGTATGCCAACACACACAGCTGTTTTTTTAAAATTTTTTGTAGAGACAGGGTCTCACTATGTTTCCCAGGCTGGTCTCGAATGCCTGGCTTCAGGTCCTCTGCCTACTTCAGCCTCCCAAAGCACTCGGATTACAGGTGTGAGCCACCATGCCCATCCTATTTCATTTTAAATGAATACAGGAGTGCATAACATAATAACTTTTCTGATATATGTTTGATTATGTCTGTCATATATTCAGTTAATGTTAAATCTCAAATGAGAACATTTCTAGATAAAAAACTGATCCACTGCATGACACTATTTCCAGGAATATGTTAGAGAAAAGTGGTTACTATCTCCATTGTGATACACAGAATTATAAACTATAATGATTAAGACTATAATCATAATCTTGAATCTTGTACACTTTTTTCTCATTTTTATCATTAGTCTTTTCAGTTCTTTGAATTACTTTGCATGTCTAGGATGCCAAGGATTTTTTTTTTTTTTTTTTAGTGTATCACTGCTGTACTTCTTCTCATTTCTATATTAAGTGGTATAGTCCTCTTAAAAGCCACTTGAAACTCACTCCTCCTTCAAAAAGCATTAAGGCTACAAGATATAATGTGAAAGTTAATCTGAAATTAATTAGACCTGGTTTATTAAAGTCCAATAAGCAAAAGGGATGTTGATCCCTGGTAAAGGGGAATGTACTGAGTTGTTTTGTAACTGTGGGTCTGAGGCAAGTTATACTCCAGCCCCACTGGCCTTCTTATTGTCCTTAAACTCACTGATACGGTTTGGCTGTGTCCCCACCCAAATCTCATCTTGAATTGTAGTTAGTTCTCATAATCCCCATGTGTCATGGAAGGGGCCAGGTGGAGATAATTGAATCACGGGGGCAATTTGCCTCATCCTGTTCTTGTGATAGTGAGTTCTCATGAGATCTGATGGTTTTATAAGGGGCTTTCCCCTTCACTGGGGACTCATTTCTCTCTCCTGCTGCCATGTAAAGAAGGATGTGTTTGCTTCCCTTTTGGCCATTTTTGTTAAGTTTCCTGAGGCCTCTGCAGCCCTGCAGAACTGTGAGTCAATTAAACCTCTTTCCTTTATAAATTCCCAATCTCAGGCAGTTCTTTTTTTTTTTTTTTTTTTTTTTTTTGAGACGGAGTCTCGCTCTGTGGCCCAGGCGGGAGTGCAGTGGCGCAATCTCGGCTCACTGCAAGCTCCGCCTCCCGGGTTCACGCCATTCTCCTGCCTCAGCCTCCCGAGTAGCTGGGACTACAGGCGCCCGCCATCACGCCCGGCTAATTTTTTTGTATTTTTAGTAGAGACGGGGTTTCACCGTGTTAGCCAGGATGGTCTCGATCTCCTGACCTCGTGATCCGCCCGCCTCGGCCTCCCAAAGTGCTGGGATTACAAGCGTGAGCCACCGCGCCCCGCCCTCAGGCAGTTCTTTATAGCAGCATGGGAATGCACTAATACACTTACCGAATTTAAGACCATGGTCTGGGCATTTCTGAGGTCCTACCAGAAGTCTACTGAATTAGCTACACACACATCCCAATCACTGTCTATACCATTGTTTTATTTTCTTGTTCATGTAGCACTTACTATATCTGAAATTATCTTATTTGTGTGTCTGCACCCCCACCCAGAAGTGTAAACTTATTATTGTCAAATCTTAAAATACACATACGCTTCCCCTTTCCTGCTTTAGCTACTCAGTTCTATGTGTATATATAGGGGCAAATGGTAACAACCCAAGGAAGCTCTACCATGCTAAATTCTGTGTGGGTAGAAGACCTGGGAATGTGAGAAAGGGAGAAGAAAGCACTAATGTTCTTCCCTAAGTACTGTAGCAATACAATTGTCATAAAAATAGAATAAAATGAAGTTAAAAGTGCACAAAGAAGAAAGAAGAAATTTCAGGGGGCAAGGCCCTCTCATTCAATTGACTTTGTGCCTCATATTCCTATAATCCTGGTGCACTAAATCTGAGTCACTTTGCCAAGAGTCAAGGAAATCTTTGTATCCTACACTCTAGTAGCACTAAGACCTCTCTCACCTACTGAGAACCAGTGGGCAGCTTGGCCAAGGGAAATCCTTTTTTAAGGCAGCCACAGTAGGACCTGGTATGACTTCCACTGCCACCACATAAACCAAGCAGGTCAAAGTAAAACTCTCAAGTCTTCATATTGCCACCACAGCCCACAAAAGTGGACCAGAACCTCTATGTTTAACCTAGTGTGACTGCTGCTACCCATACAAGATTTAAGTAAGACTCGGAGTCTTATACCATAATACACAAAATGCCTAGGAGGCAATTAAAAATCACTTGTAATAGTAAGAAGAAGAAAAATCACAACTTTAGAAAATAAAATCAATGGAAACAAACACTGAGATGGATCAAATGTTGCAATTATTTGACAAAAATTTTAAAGCCATCATCATAATATGCTTCAATAATTAATTACAAATTCTTTTAAAATAAATGAAAAAATAGAAAATCTCAGCAAAGAAAAAGAATTCATAAAAATAATGAAGTGGAGACTGTATAACTGAAAATAATGATAATAGAAATTAAATAAAAATATCTAACTGATGTACTTGATAGTAGGGTGGAGATAATACAGTGTAAAATTAATGAAATCAAGGAAAAATCAATAGAATTTACCTAAAATGATCAAGTAAGTGAAAATAGAAAATATATGAACAGAACTTGTGGAACAATAACAAAAGTCCTAATATTCATACATTGATATCCAAAAGAAAAAAAAATGAAGATTAAAAAATATCTGAAGAAATTATGCCTAAAATTTCCAAATTTGGTGAAATACATAAATCTAAAAAACTGAGTGAATTGCAAATAGAAAAAATTCAAACAAATTCATGCTAGTACAGATAATAATTAAACCTCTGAAAATTAAAAATAAAGAAAAAATCTTGAATGGAGCCAACTTGAAACAACCCATTATGTATGGGGAACACCAGCTTGAATTAACATCTTGAGTTAATATCTCATCTGAAGCCATTAAGGCCAGAAGTAAATTGCACAATGTGTTGAAGTGCTAAAAGAAAAGAACTATCATTTATGAATTCTAAATCTGGTAAAACTATCTTCCTAAAATGAAAGTGAAATAAAGACATTTTCAGAAAACAGAAAACTAATAATTTTTTGTTAGTCATTCTACCCTTAAAAAATGACTATGAAATGTTCTTTGAACAGAAAAAAATGAAAAGAGAAGAAATTTTGAGCATCAGAAAGAAAAAGAAACAAGAAACAAGAAAGAGGGAGAAATATGAGTACATACAATAGAATATCCTTCTCATTAATTTCAGAAACAATATTTCATAATTAAAACAAATATTATTGATATTTAAAAGTGAGTAAAGCAATCACAATGGAAGTAAGGTTCCCACGTTTCAGTTGAAGTGGAAAATATCAATACCAATAAATTGTGAAAAGTCAGACTTGAATATTGTAATATCCAGAACAACCACTCAAAATCTATACAAAGTAATTTAAAAATGCTGTAACTAAATCAAGTTGGAATTCTAAAAAATACTTAAGCAACAAAAAGGCAAGAAAAGGGAGCCACAGGAAAAAGAGTAAGAAACAAAAGGAAGACAATAAAATGTCAGAATTAAGATCTAACATATCAACAATTACTTTAAATATAAACGGGCTAATTTTACCAATCACAAGACCGAGTTTGGCAGTGTGGATTTAAACAACAACAATAGCAACACGATTCAACTATTGGCTATTTTTTTTACCAAAAAAAAATCACTTTAAATTCAAAAGACAGGTAGATTGAAAGAAAAAGGATGGAAAAATATACCATGCAGTCATAACAAAAAGGAAGTTTGGCTATATTGATATCTGATATAGTAGACTTCTAAGCAAAGAATATTACTAGACAAAAAAGGGATATATTTAATAATAAAAGAATCAATCTACAAGAAATACATAATAGTCTGAAATGTGTATGTTCCAAAGAACAGAGCCTCAAAATGCATGAAGCAAAAACTGATAGAACTTAAAGGAGAAACAGACAAGTCCACAATTATAGTTAGACACTTCTACATTGCCCTTTCAGCAACTAATTGAACTAATAGAATATCAGCTAAGATATAGAAGATATGAATAATACAATTAATTAACAGAATCTAATTCAAATATATTGAATTCAAATATATAGCTTCACTGAACAACATCAGAATAAGCATTGTTTTCAAATACCCAAGAAACATTCATCAAAATATATTGTATTCTGAGTCGTAAAATAAACATAAGTGAATTTAAACACTGAAATTCTAAAGAACATGTTCCCTTACCATAGGAGAATAAAGGAGAAATCAGAAAGACAGTAGGACATCTCCAAAGACTTGAAAGTTAACACACTTAAATAATCCATGGATTGAAAAGGAACTCTCAAAGGAAATTATAAAGTACACAGACACAAATGAAAATGAAAATACAACATATTAAAATATGAAGAATGCAGCTAAAATAGTTCTAAGAGGGAAACATAGCACAGAACGTCTACATTAGAAATGATCAAGTGACTCACATAAATAATCTAGGTTCCTACCTTTAGCAATTGGAAAAAGAAGAGCAAAATAAAACCAAAGCTAGCAGGAGAAAAGAAACAATAAAGATAAGCCCAGAAACCATTGATACTAAAACTAGCAAAACCCATTGAAAAACAACAAAATAAAAAGCTGGTTCTTAAAAAATAAACAAAATTGATAAACTTTTAGCAAGTCTGGCAAAAATTTAAACAGAAAGAAGAAACAAATCATCGGTATCAGGAAAGGGATAGAGGATACCACTGCAGATCCTGCAAACAATAAAAGGCTAGGGCAACATGACAATTTTAGACTCATAAGTTAGATAATTTAGAAGAAATGTATCTGGCCAGGCATGGTGGCTCACACCTGTAATCCTAGCATTTTGGGAGGGCATGGTGGGTGGATAATTGAGTCAAGAGGTTTAAGACCAGGCTGTGCAAGATGGCAAGACACTCTCCCTACAAAAAATTTAAAAAATTAGCTGGTGTGGTGACGTTCACCTGTAGTCCCAGCTACTGGGGAGGCTGAGGTGGATCACCTGAGCCTAGAGGCAGAGGTTGCACTGAGCCAAGATTGCCCCAGTGCACTCCAATTTGGGCGATACAGCAAGACCCTGTCTTAAAAAATTTTTTTTAATGTTAAAAAAAGAAATCCATAATTTACTTGACAATTAGAAACTACCAAAACTCAACAAAATAAAATTAACAATCTGAATAATAATTAAGAAATTGAATTCATAATTTAAAAGCTCCTGAAAAAGAAATTGGCAAGTACAGCTATTCTCAATGGATAATTCTATAAAATATTTAAAGAAGAATCAACACCAGTTCTCCACACTCTCCTCTAGAAGAAGAGGAGGATGGAATACCTTCCCCCTTAATTTATGAGGCCAATATTACCCTGATGCCAAATCCAGACAAAGATATTGTCCCCCAAAATAAAACTAACGATCATAGATAAATACCTCTTATAAATTTAGATGCAAAATCTTAAGCAAAATATATTAGCAAAATGAATTCAACAATGAATAAAACATATTATACACCAAGTGGAATTTATTCTAGCTATGCAAGACTAGCTTGACATTTGAAAATTGATTAATGTAATCTACCATGTCAATACACTAAAAATAAAAAATAGTATAATAGTATCAATTAGCACACACACAAAAAAGCATTTAACAAAATTCAATACCCATTCATAATGAAAAAAAAAAAAACAAAAAACAACTTCTCACTCCTTTAGGAAGGGGAGAAATTCTTCAACCTGAAAAAGAACATTTAACAAAATCTCACAGCTCACATCATATTTAATGATGAAAGACTGAATGAATGATAGCCCTTTAAGATCAGAAACAAGTCAAGGATGTCCACTCTCATCACTGTTATTCAACATAGCACTTGTTATGAGTTGAATTGTGTCTGCCTAAAATTCATGTGTTTGAAGCCCTAGTTCCTAGTACTTTAGAATGTGACTGTGTTTTGAGACAGGGTGTTCAAAGAGGTAATTAAGTAACAACGAGGCTGTCAGGGCAGGCCCTAACCTAATTTGACTGATGGTCCTTATACAAAGAGAAAATTTGGACACACAGACACCAGGATTGTGCACACACACAAGAAAGACCATGTGAGAACACGGTAAGGAGGCAGCCATTGGCAAGACAAAGAAGCCTCAGAAAACACCAAACCTGCCACTACCTTGATCTTGAACTTCAAGCCTCCAGAACTGTCATAAAATAAAATTATATTGTTTAAGACACTCGGTCTATGATATTTGTTATGAAGTTCCAGCAAACTGAACAGTACTGGAAGTTCTAGTCCTATCAATATGGCAAGATCAAAACAAAACAATAAAAGGGCATATAGATCAAAATGGAAGAAATAAAATTGTTTCTATTTGGAGATTACATGACTGCTAAGCAGAACATTTTTAGAAATATCAATTTTTAAAAAGAGTACTCTCAGAACTAATAAAGAAGTTCAGCAAGGTAAAAAGATATAAGATGAATGCATAAAAATCAAGTACATTTCTATGTATTAACAATGACAATGCAGAAACCAAAATTAAAAGTAAAACACCATTTATAATAGCTTCACATAAAATGAAATACTTAGATATCTACTTGTCAAAATATATACAAGATGTTTATTCTGAAAATTACAAAATTACAATAAAAATATTTAAATAAATGGAGAGACATACCATATTCATGGATTAGAAGATTCAAGGTATTACATATATATCAATATCAATTCTTCACAAATTAACCTATGGGTTTAATTCAATCCCTATAAAAACCCAGTGAGATTTGTGGAGACACAGACAAGCTTAATTTAAAATTTTAATGAAAATGCACAAGGCCTAGAATAGCTAAAACTCTCTTTATAAAAAATAATCAAGTGGGAGGAATGATTCAATGAAATATTATGACTTACTGTATAGTTGTAGTAATAAAGAGTAGGTGGTATAGGTGGAGAGATAGACATATGGATTAATGAAACAAGATAGAGAGCCCAGAAATAGAGTCACATAAATATGCACAATTGATTTTTTGCAAAGGTGCAAAATCAGTTCAATCCAGAAAAGATAGCCTTTTCAACAAATAATGCTGGAGTAATTGAATATCCCTAGGCAAGAAAAAAGATATTTGATCTAGACCTCACTCTCACACAAAAATTAATTCAAACTTAATTAATGAACTCAAATGTATAACATAAAGCTATAAAACTTTTAGAAAAGTAAGGTAGGAGAAAATAATATTCAGGATCTAGAGTTACACAAATAATTATTATAATTGATGCCAAAATGCAGAATCCATAAGAGAAGAATTGAGAAATTGAACCCATCAAAACGTAAAATTTTTGTTATGTGTAAGGTCAGGTGAAGAGGAGGAAAAGATAAGCTCCAGACTGAGAGAAAATATTTTCAAAATGCATATCTGAAAAAGGGCTAGAATCTAAAATATAAAGACTTCTCAAAACTCAACATTAAAAAAAACAAGCAGTTAGAAAATAAGCAAGAACATGAAGAGACATTTCACCTAACAGGATATACAAATAACAAGTACATTAAGAGATATTCTCCTCCACTCACCGTTAGGGAGATGCAAATTAAAACCACAATGAGATATCACTACACATATATCAGACAGACTAAAATAAAAAACAGCAACAAAACCAAATGCTGGATACAAAAAACTGGATCATTTCCACATTGTTGATGGGAATGTAAGGTAGTGCACCAAATCTGGAAAAGTATGGTAGTTTAATAAAAGTATGCAATTATAATATGACCAGGTATTGGGCTCTTGTGCTCTTCTTCTTGGTAATAAAAACTTATATTTATAAGAAAATCCGGTATGCTAATATTCCTAGAAGCTTCATTCAAAATAGGCAAAAACTGGAAACAGATCTCAGTGGGTGAATGGTTACACATATATACTAAGCAATAATGTTGAATGAACTCTTGATACACACAACTTTGATGAATCTCCAGGAAATCATGCCAAGTAAAAAAATTCAATTCCCAAAGTTAGCACGCTGTATGATTCCATCTATGTAACATTTTTGAGATGACATTTTAGAAATGAAGAACCATTTACTAGCTACCAGGGGTTAGGGATAGTTATAAAAGAACAATACACGGAAACCTTGTGATGGAACTATTCTGTGTCTTAACTCTGGTGGTGGATGCATGAATCTGTACATCACAAAATTGTATAGAACTGAATACACACACACACACAACCACAAATGAGTGTAACAAGTAAAACTTCCAATTCTGGACAAGATTGATGAATTATACCAATGTCAATATCCTGGTGTGCTGTTGTACTATAGTTTTGCAAGATGTTACAATATGGGGAAACTGCATTTGACTACAATGATCTGAATAAAAATCTAAATTTTTTTTTCTCAAAAAAAAAAAAAGAAGGCCAGGAGTGGTGGCTCAGGCCTGTAATCCCAGCACTTTGGGAGGCCGAGGTGGGCGGATCCTGAGGTCAGGAAATTGAGACCATCACGAGGTCAGGAGATCGAGACCATCCTGGCTAACACGGTGAAACCCCATCTCTACTAAAAATACAAAAAAATTAGCCAAGCATGGTGGCGGGTGCCTGTAGTCCCAGCTACTTGGGAGGCTGAGGCAGGAGAATGGCGTGAACCTGGGAGGCGGAGCTTGCAGTCAGCCCAGATCGCGCCACTGCACTCCAGCCTGGGCGACAGCTAGAGACTCTGTCTCAAAAAAAAAAAGAAAAAAGAAAACATATTATCTGAAGGAATCCTTGGATACCTTTTTGCCTTAATGTGCAAGAAAATCTTTACAATGTAAGTGTTGATTTTGAAGACAAGTGAAGAGTAAGAAGGCTGTTCCTCATTAATGTCTCTAACTCTTCCTTTTTCTAGATGCCCCATGTTGTCTTCTGGTCTTCTATCTTCCTGATTGATTCTTTTTTCTCAAACTCTTCTGTGATATCACCTTTTTTCTCTTCCTGTAGATTCAGATGGTCTTTAAGACTTCATATTCAGATTCTGTGCACCCACAGTCATTCTCTATACTGTCTCCCATAGCTTAAAGTTTCCAAAATGTATGTCTCCAGGCCTGAATCCTCTCCAGATCCCCGGATTTTCAGCTCTAGCTGCCTTCCTGACATGGCCATTTGGATATCCAATCGTCTTCCTCTCATGATAGTCAACCTTCTTCCCTAAACCTGCTCCTCGTCAAGTGTTTCCAACTTATGGAATTGCATCATTAATCTCAGTCCAAAAGTACCATCTTTGACTTATACTTTTCTCTCTTTTACATTTCTCTCACTTATTTAAGCAATGAATCCTTTTGACTCAACTTTCAAAATGTATTCTACACCAGACTAATTTTTGCTGACTTCCTGTCTTAATCAACTTCAATTGCTCTAACAAAATACCATAGAATGGGTGAATTAACCACTTTTATTTCTCACAGTTCTGGAGGCTGAAAAGTCCAAGATCAAGGTGCCAGCACATTTGGTGCCTGGTTAGGGTCCTTTTCCTGGATGGCAGATGACCATCTTCTGGCTGTATCCTAATATGGCAGGGACTGGGGAGACAGAGGCAGGAATAAAGAGAGAGAGAGGGAGAGAGAGAGAGAAGCACACTCTGGTCTCGCCCTCTTCTTATAAGGACGCCAATTCCATCATAAGTTCCTCAGGACCTCATCTAAACGGAATTACCTCTCAAAAGCCCTGCCTCCCAAATGCCATTACCTTGGGGTTTAGGGTTTCAACATATGGGGGGACACTAACAAAACACTCCCCTACTACTAACCTACTCTGAACCATCTTCATCCCTCCCTGGTCTCACTATGAATCATCTGACTGGTCCCTTATATTCCACTCTTGCTCCTCTAGAGCTTCTGTCAACAGCCAGCGTAATGGTTGGCTTTAAAATGTAAGTCAGATTATGCCACTCCAACTGCTTAAAACCCTCCAGTGATATCTGTCACATATAGAATGAAATCAGACTCCACATCATGGTCAGAATGATTCTATTTACATGATTATCAATATTGGATGCATACATTATATGTGGAGCTGACGCCAAGGACTGTTATAGCACTGGAAGAACCATGTACAAGAAATCCCTCTGTTTTGGGCAAACTGGGACAGTTGGTAACCATAGGGCAGGCCACACCCCAGACCAAATAAATCAGAATCTGTTGGTGTCCAATTCAGGTGTAAATATACATATATTTAAAAATCTCCAGTTGATTATAATGTGCTGCCAAATTTCAGAACCATTGCTTCAAAACAGTGGCCTACAAACTACAGCTCAAAGGACCAAATCATGTCTGTCTTCCGGTTTCAGAGTTTATCTAAAATATATGCACCCCAATTTGTTTATGTGTAGTTTATGACTGTTTTCTAGTTACTGAGGCAAAATTGAGCTGTTGCCCACAAAGCTAAAGTATTTGCTATCTGGCTCTTAACAGGATAAGTTTGCTCTAAATGATCTAGCCATTGGCTAGTTCCCCAACTTATGTGATTAAGTAATTTTCCACACAGACCTCTCTTGACCACCATGCATAAAATAAAATAAAATCTTTCCAAATGCATGCTCTGCGTTATTTTTTATTAGCAACTAAATTTAAATTATAGTTTTATTAAATTTGTTTTTCTCTATCTCCCCCACTAGAATGTAAACTCTGAGGATAGCCTATTTCTTTTTGCTTTTTAAAAATTGATGTATCATAGTTGTATATATTTTGGGGGTATATGTGATATTCTAATAAATGTGTAATGTGTAATGATCAAATAAGGGTATTTGGGATTGGGATATCCATCATCTCAAATATTTATCTTTTCTTTGTATTGAAAATATTACAATTCTTCTCTGCTAGCTATTTTGAAATATACAATAAATTATTTTTAACTATAATTTCTCTACTGTTCTATTAAACACAGGAATTTATGTTCACTGTTGTCTCTCCAGTTCCTAGTACAAACATTGGTACCTTTCAGATGTTATATGGACAAGTATTATACAAATGAATGAATGTCTCTATACTTATGAAAATGGCTTTGCATGAACATGGCTTCCTTTCCTTATCTGTCTGGGAAACACGTTCCTTCCTTTAATAATCTACTGACATAGGGTGTCATCTGTGACCTTTCTCTGACTCACATTTTTGTCCTAACCCCTCCATTCCTGTTCTCATCTCGTACGTGTGCATGTACCAATTTTCCCTCCTAGATCCACTAGCATTTTTGTCTTGGATGATCAATGAGCTCCTTATATGTAAATTGTCAAGGCTTTCATATGCTTATTCCTTCACATATTTGTATTCCACTTAGCTATTCCAGTAACTGCCACATTTTTGACACTACTACAATGTTTGAGAAAGAAAGGAAGGAGGTATGTTGGATGGAAGGAAGAAGAGAAAGAAGAAAAGAAAAGGAAAAACGGAAAGGTATAGCTATGATATAACCTTTATTTTTCTAAGACTCCTAATATTTTCTATTATAATAAAATAATAAAAATTTTTGTTATTGTTCTGTCCATCTTCACAATATGTGTGTTTCCTCTCTTAACTTTTAGATTTCAATATTTCTTTCTGTTATATCAATTGATTCAAGGATGTTACTTAAAAGAGTCGACTTGCATAGCTTAGGAATGTGGGCTCTAGATCTATTAATACTTTGATTCCTATCTTGGTCATTTGCTGGCTACCTGACTTTGACCAAGCAACAACATTCTGAGCCTCAATTTCTTCATCAATAAAACAAAACTCATAAAGTTGCTGTCAGGATCAAATGTAATTATATCTAGTACATAGTATTCCTTAAATAAATGTCAACTATAATTGCTATTATTCATGATTAACTCATAACTTGTCAGAGTAAGAGATAATTCTACATGGAACTTATTTCTTAGATTTTTTTCTCTGCCAATGGCATTCAAATAAAAGGATAAGAGTAAGATTCAAGCTAAACTTGTTTTGTACCGGAAATAAAAAATTAAACAAGCATTTTAATGTTTTCTGAATCTATGTTTTTCCAAAATATTTACTTAGAAAATAATTTGTTCTGCTAGATTTTGCTATTAGTTGCATCGTGGCACTAATCTTTCTGGCTCTTTCATTTTTAAAGCTCATTTTTATTATTCTTTCAGCTCATACATTTCTTATCATCCATAAAATTTTCTGTTTCAAAACAGTGCAAAAATTTTACTTAGTCATTACTGAATTAGGCTCCAAAATGCAAAAGAAACCCAAGATTAATTTTACTGCTTATGGAAAAGTATTACTTTTGAAAGGATCTGGTGGTTAAATAAGTATCAGATTCTATCCTCCATATGTCAGAAAAAAATATTTTATACCTCTTCCTCTATCCCCACAACCAGTCTTGATAAATTTTCTTGATTCTCCCAGAAAAAAAAAGTGTACACAATTTTTTTGTTGGTGAACATAACTGACCAGAAAAATCACACTGCTCATGCCCTGAGCTGTTTCCATAGCTATTTAATAAGATGACTCTGGCAAACAATGAAAATCCTGTTTCACAGTCATCACTGGAGTTTATGTACACACCCATCTTGTGTCTCAGCTGGGTCTCTAAGAACCTGTGAAAAAGCCACAAAGAATATTTACAATTCTATCAATTAACATCTGACCTATATATTTTGGCTACCTTATTTTAAAATTAATTGTCATTCTTTTTTTTCAGCTTCTTTTTCTCCACAAGACAGTTATTGATCTCAATTTACTTTTTTTGTTTTTGTTTTATGTCTCTCCCTATTAGGAATATAAGTACCAGAAAGGCAGGAAATTTTTATGTTTTGTCCATTGCAGTTTCCTCGAAATCTAGAATAATGCCTGGTACATAGTAGGCACTTCACATATTTTTGTAAATTGAGTAAGTAATTTGTTGTTGTTGTTGTTGTTGAGATGGAGTTTCAATCTTGTTGCCCAGGCTGGAGTGCAATGGTACGATCTTGGCTCTCCGCCTCCAGGGTTCAAGTGATTCTACTGCCTCAGTAGCTGGAATTACAGGCATGCGTCACCATGCCGGCTAATTTTGTATTTTTGGTAGAGATGGGGTTTCACCATGTTGGTCAGGCTGGTCTAGAACTCCGGACCTCAGGTGATCCGCCCACCTCAGCCTCCCAAAATGCTGGGATTACAGGCGTGAGCCACCATGCCCAGCCGACATTACCTTACTTTAAATGCTATAAACTTAAATACTGTTTTTATCTTTAAAAACTAGATGTATAATTCACTTAGATATTGCTTCTGTATAAAAACAACGAAAAAAACACTGATTATATATTCTTTTCAGCTGATTGGCCATCTATGATATTTTGCCAGTAGAACCTTGGATATTAAAAAGACAACTTAAAAAATACGCACACACACACACGCACGCACACACACACACACACACACACACACACACATCTATCTATCTATCAAGTTTCTTGACCTAAGGGAGTCCATATGAATGGTAATATAAGCAATAGCTGATACATATTTATGATATTAAAATTAAAATACATAGCTTTTAAAATTTATAGTAGTATGATATTGATTTCCCATCTTAAATGTGTGTGTATATATATATATATCATAATGATACTGTTAGTTCTTATATTCTTTTTTTATTACCAATTTTTGAAATGAATACATGTGGAAAGTGTTCCTGAAAATAACCAACAATAGAAAGAATACATTTAAACACTTCGTGGAACAACAATGAAAAACCTTGTTAGTCATCTATTTTACAGCCAAGAAGAACACAAGTTGAAAACAGTTCAAAGACAGAATTTACAGATAATGCTGACTCCCCTGAGAGTTTATAAGAACAGGAAAGCTCTTCCTATTTGTGTGGCATTATATCAATATTTAGTATAATTTAGTGTGACACAAATACAGATCTTCATATTTTCCCTTTCTGAAAAGCTTCTATATTGTTTAAATATCATGTTGAACTAGACTGTAGAACTCTCTAAATTGGCTAAGTGGTTCTACAATAGTGCAACTGAATCTAGGCTGCCAAGCAAGTGCCAACTCAGCATGATTTCTGAATAGTTGGTAAATGAAGCTTCAACATTCTGGGGTTTTAAATGAAAGCACTCTCTTAACAGAAATTATCTCAGAATTACATGTCTGTTACAATAACAATTTTAGAAAAAAATACTTTCATATTGAAAGAGAAAAAAACAAATATTGATTAATTGATGAAAAGGTAATAATTGGTTGTTTTCAGTAAATGTAACATTCGCTATGTTACCTGCTACGGGAAATATAGAAGAAGAATATACTAAAAGCAGATACCATAGATCCCCTTTCCTTAATGGTATTTTAAAAAATAAACAAGACATGGCGAGACCAAATGGCATTGCCAGGAAAGACAAGGCTAAATCGCATCATTCTTGTTCTCTTGTGGTGTCAGGTTCTTTCAGGGGAAGCTCTAAGATTTCTCCTATCTAGAAAGGAAGGGATCTGATCAATTCACTCACAGTAAGAATTTCTCTCTGATAATTTTTATTTTTAAAACTAGGAGAAATGATTAAATCATGACAATGAATCTCTAGTGATAAAAGCCCTAGAACTCAGGAACTCAGGAGTAGAGGGTGTGTCTGACCTACGTGCTTTAGTAGCTCCAACCATCACTCTTTCCTAGCCATCAGTGGCTAGCTGTGGAGAGGGCGTTATCATGGACAGGGAGAACCAGAAGCAGAACTTCTGCTATCACAACTTTACATATGGAAGTCCCAGGAGGGGAAAAATGTAACTGTCTGAATCATGACAGAAAATAAAATATAATTTATAAATACACAGCGAATGGTGAAATACGCAATAGAACTGTCTTTTCTGAAAGTGTAAACATGCAGATCTTTCATCTAGAGAGAAACCCAGAAAACGAGGATCAACTATCAACATCTTCTCCTGAAGGGAATCCTCTACTGTCACATCAGTGTATGCCTTTCCAACCATGATACCTCTACATGGCCTCTCTGTGTGTATCTCTGTGCATGGCATCCCAGGTGTGGGATAAATTGCGTGCAATTTATTTAAATGTTACTATTCATGATTTGAATCCACAGATGACACCCGATTAAGTGCCTTCTTGGTGCAAATGGGGAAGGTCAGTTATTTATGTCCAATACTCCATGCCCAGCAAAGCTTAAGGGACTGAATTAGTTTGATAAACAAGTATATATTTCAGGCAATGTGCTAGGAAATCCAAAGATGAATATGATAGGATTACTGTGTTGTTTGACATTCTCAAATTCTTTCTGAGGATAGACACAACAGGAAAAACAATATGAAACAGATACTAAGAAAGATTTACTAAACATATATTTATTGAAAAAAATATTAATTTGCTTAGAGAAGTCAGGAATACTTAACAGAGGAGGTGATTTTGAAAACTCTTACAGGAAAAATGTAACTATTTAATGCATACTATATTTTTGTAGTAATTTGGATGTTGCTTGTTTTCAGCATTCTATGAAAGTCTTCTTCCTTCCAACTACATTATTTATACTCAAGAAGGATATCATTTTTCTTTTGAAACTGTCTCAATTGCTAACATACTTGGCATTTTCCAATTGAACACTTGGAGTTTCTATTTCTGTGACTAGTAGAAGGCCTGTGATATGTACTCATTTGTGATTTTGATGAGGCACAACTTTGAATCATAGCTTTGTAAGATTGGTGTGTGGGAATGAGTCATGTAGCTGATGCGTGATTCTGTTGACCTCTCGCTTTCCACAGCCAGACATGGATCTGTTGCTCTGTATTATTTCTTTAATCAGCAATAACTCTTGTGCCATGAAAACAAATTGACAACTTTAGATACACTAATCATATAATGAGGTACTTAATAGAGCATGTTCTATTTTAGTAGTGAAATTAACATTCATAACTTTATAATTTCTATCCTATATTTATTTAGTGACTTACATATTGGAAGTCATTCCTTAACACATTTAGTTATATTTGACTTTTTTATAGGGAATTGTATCTATTAAAATATCATTAGCAAATTTGAGGAGTCACAATAGTCTGTTATTTTCTCAGACAATGTCAAGTGACTTCCCAAACCATAAGGGCTCAATGTATTCTTGCTAAATGGGCACGATAAAAGCAGAAACCTTTTCATGTTAATTATTTCTTTTTAAAGAATCTTCATAATTTAAATAATTGCAATAATGAATATAGATTGTACGTGTATAAACAACTGAAAATTTTTTTAAAAAGCTAAATGGCAAACTACTTATAATAATGACAAATTGCTCATTTGGGGGTTTTAATTTTTATATGTCAGTGAGGACCAATATGTAAAATGTCTCATAGACTTTGGCGCTTAATAACTATCTAGCATATTCCTTCATTAATGATAAGACAATGATAGAACTATCAAAGGTAAAGTACTTATTACATAAGCACTGAAAAGAGTTTCTATTTGCAATTATTTCACTGTTACAATTCAAAGGATTTTGAATCTTTGTACCCATTTTGAGTTATAAAAATGTACTACTATTATGCATGTTGCTATAATTTAATTTTATAAAAATGTTTAATATAAGTAAAAAGACACGATATTTTGTTCTAATATCTTAATTTTCTTCTTAAATATGGCCAAAATTATTATGCTGCTTGGATATATGCACATAGAGTCACAAGCAGAGAGTAAACAGATATCCTCAAACGAAGGCTCCATAAATTTTCCCTGGCAGGACACTTTGAAGGGTGGCTATTTTTACTAGTGTCCTGGTCTTTTAATGTCAAGGAATATACTGCAGAGTGAAAAACTGTTAGATGCATGTAATTGTTATTGTCAATTTAAATTTAAAATTCCAAATAACATGAAAATTCTAGTCTTAAAGATTTATTGAAGTTATTTTCATTAGCTATGTCCACTAGAGTCATAAGCCAGCAGTTCCCCTGGTTTGCCTACTGCCACTAAGTGCTTTTCTTTCTCTGTCAGAAACACTTTCTGTGTATATGCATATATGTGTACACATTTGTGTGTGTGTATATATATATATATATATATATATATTAGAGATGGAGTCTCACTATGTTGCCCAGCCTTGGCTCAAACTCTTGGACTCAAGCAATCCTCCTACCTTAGCCTTCCAAGTAACTGGGGCTACAGGCCCATGCCATAATGCTCAGCTTATTTTTCCATAGTAGACTTTTATAGGATTGGGATGAGCTGGAGGCTGCTTTTGTTCGTGTTTTCTTGGCTTTTAAAAAATGTGGACACCAACTTCAATTCTTCCTAGTTTATGCACACACACACACGCAAAATGTCAACTTGTGACCATTTCTTCATGGGTAAGGTTACTTCTGTAGGCGTTTGTTAGATAATAGTTTTATGTATTCTAACATGCTTCCTTCCTCTCTATTTTGCTAATCATATGAAAAGTTAATTTCCTAACCCTCTGAAACTGTGCAATGCTACACTTCCCTTTACTTTTTCCTAATCTTTAAAAGGACTACTGTAATCAGACTGAAAATTCCTTTTAACATATAAACACTAACTCCATAGGTTTTTCAATAGTGAAAGGAAAAAAGAATAAAGTACCTGCTTCTGCCAGTCTCCAAATACATAAATAAAATAATATATTCCACATTTTACATGTGAAAATATATATTTAATTTATGGAAAGGGCAGGTATAGGTAAGAGATGGGTGAGTCCACTCTTAAGGCTCTTAAGTATAACATGCAATTTGAGCAAACATTGTTTTATCTCCCAGTTGGCCAGGTAACAAGGGATATGAATTGTACATTCAAGTCCATAATGACCATGAGTTCTAATGGCCCCTAGATTTAGAATCAGAAAAAAATACCTGAGTTCCACTTCTGCCTTTTGATGGTTATGTAACATTGGCATTACTTGACTTCTTTGAACCTCCATTTTTGGTACAATACATCGGGAATAAAAATATTTCAGATCAGCAGTGTACTGTAGCATCATTTGTTTAAGAGGATGCCTCTTTGAATTTGATTTCTGGCTGTGCCCTACACTATGTGATGTTGGGCAAATTATAACACTGCATTGTTCTATGCCTTGATTTGATCATCCACAAAACAAAGATAATAACAGTAACCTACTCCTTAGTATTATTGTAAGGATTGAGTGAGTTAGTGTATGTAGAATACTGTCTGTTACACAGTAAATTCTCGATAAACGTACTATCTTTATTTTTGATATTATTTTTATTTGGAAGGCTCTTGTAAAAATTAATCAAAAACAGATAATATTCTGTAAGCAGAAAACATCACACAAAGTAGTAGTACACAGCAAAGGAATTTTGACATAGCTGTTCTACGTCTATTTTTAAGAATTTTGTTATTGGGCTTCTTTATAACACTTCAATATCACACACTAATCCCTTAGCAACTTGTTACATTCTGCATTTAATTTTTGCTTAGCCCCAAAGTGTTAAAACAGCTTTTCAAAGCACTAACTTTCTGATTTTGGCACAATTTATCAAAACTTATTATTAATTCACAAAAGTTGGCATCTGACCATGAACTTCTTCAGAAATAATTACAAAGCAAGAGCATTCAGCTGCCTCAAAATTAAATTCAGCTTTCTTTCTAAGGGGGGAGGATTTTAAAATAAAATGCTTTTATCTTTAAATTGATTTGGAGACATTATAAATTCTGTTTTTTAAGAATCAATCAAACATAATCTATACACAGAAATTCCAACAAACAGGAATAAGCTTTTTAAAAATTACCATGTTGGTCACTGCAAAAAAAGAACCTCCACAGAATTAGATATGCCCCTGCACAATATTATAGGTTTAAATATACAACTCATATTCCAGAGCTATTATTATGGTCTCAAAGTCTGAGACTGAAACTGAAAGATGCACTTCAGCTGCAAATATGTAGCAATTATCATGAAATGAACTTCATTCCACATTCTTGCTAATCACCATGGTAACCTACATTCAATGGATTCTTTCTGGGAAATATTCCAGACTTGATCAGACATTTTTAGTTTAGAAGTTTAGAATATTTTTACTTACTTGGTTGCTTATATTGTTGTTTTTAGCAATATCTAATGACATTATAAAAAGAGTGTTCTAGAATATTGAACTAGTTTGAAAATTCCAACCAAGGAGCATATAATAATAACGTTCTTAGGTTCAAAAGGCATGAAGAATAATTGACTAATTACATTTACTAATAATATTTCATAAATATGTTAATGAACCCGTGAGCTTATAACATATAAACTATAATATAAATGATCTAAATTCAATATTTGACTACCAAAAATATATATAATCAAATAAATGTATATACTTCATTTATGTACCTTCAATTTTTAATATTAAATGTATTGGATATGAGATTGAAACCTATCCACCAAATGATACTAACAACAATTTGTCACTTAGCCATTGCAAATAAAAATGTCAATTTTGTCAATTAAGTGTTTTGAGAAATGTGTTGTCTTAGGATAAACATCAGAAGGTTGATGAGTTTTAGTACTAATAAATATCATTTTCTCAGGCCTATTTATATGGCTTGGGAGATAACTTACACATCAGAATCAGAGAACAAGGACATCTGCTAGCTCCTTAAGGAGATGGTCACCAAGTCTGGCCATGCTGGCAGGGTCACTGGGAGAGAATTCACAATGAACAGCTTGCTTTTGGATTGAAAGAAAACCAGGATAAAGTAACATTGAGATTGATGACCAGGTATCTAAAACATACAGCTATAAGCCCCAGGGAGCAAGAAGTATGTCCCCCAAGTGGTATATCCGTGGCACAGACACTTACCCTGGAGATAAATTGAAGTAGGCATCCTTTTTCCTACCACAATTGTTGGTATTTCCTAAAAATGTTCCTGCTCAAGTTCTGAGGCCTTTTGCCGGAACCCTAGAACTTGGAATTTAATAAATAACATATCAAGAGAGTTTTATAACCTGAGTTTTGTAAGTAACTCAGAGGGGGAGACAATGGTATTTTTTGGGCCTAAATCTACATAAATGGAATTTGATTAGAAGATTATAGGTACACAGACACACACACACAGACACACACACACACACACACACACACACACAGAGACAGAAAATCTAGACATGGACTTTAGACTTGACACAAAAATTATTCAAAATTGATCATGGACCTAGATGTAAAATGGGAAATTATAAAAGTTTTTGAAGGAGGCATAAGGAAAATCTACATTCCCTTGTATTTAGTAATAAGTTTTTAAACGTACCACCAAATGAATGCATGATCTATGAATGAATAATTGATATACTGGACTTCACTAAAACTTCTACTTTGTAAAAGACACTGTTAAAGAGATAAAAATATAAGCTAAGGACAGGGAAAAATATTAAACACATAGGTAATAAAAGACATGTATCCAAAATATACAAATGATTCTTAAAATTGATTAATAAGAAAACAAATAAATTATAAAATGGGTAAAATATCTGAGCAGATACCTCATCAAAGATGTTATACAGATAACACTTAAGTATATGAATAGATGCTCAACCTCATTTGTCTTTAAGGAATTGCTAATTAAAACTTTGAGTTACCATGACGCAATGATCAGAATGACTAAACTTCAATATATACAAATAAATAAACAAACCAAAACAAAAAATGCTGACAATACCAGTTGCTGGTGAAGATATAGAGCAATAAAAACTCTCATTCAGTGTTGGTGGGGATGTATAGCCACTTTGGAAGACAACGACAATTTCAAACTGTCAAAAATAAACACAATCTTACTCTAAGATCCAGAAGTGAGTTCCTAAGTATTTACTCAAATGACTTTAAAACTTATGTTCACATAAAAACCTGCATATGAATACTTACATTAGCTTTATTTGTAATTGCCCAAAATCAAAAACAATCAAGATATTCTTTAAAAAGTAAATGGATAAACTATGGTACATCCATATAATAAGACATTATTCAGAACATAGGAGAAAGAAAGAAAAAGAAATAAGTTATTAAACCACAAAACACGTGGATGAATCTTAAATGCATATTGCTAAGTGAAGAGAGCCAGTGTGAAAAGCTGCATACTGTTTAAGTACAGTTGTATAACATTCAGGAAAAGCCAAAACTATAGAGATGATAAACATAAATGGCTGCCAGGGGTACAACAGGGAATAGGGTATGGTTAAAAATTGAAGCAACATAATTTTGAGGCAGTCAAACTATTCTGTATGATACTGTAAAGGAGAGGGCAAGATATTAGGTTGGTGCAAAAGTAACTGCGGTTTTTGCCATTGAACATAATGGCAAAAAACTCAATAACTTTTGCACTTACCTAATATAAGACCTGCAGTCTCAGAATATACAGACCTTTAAAGCATAAAAAGTAAACATTTATGTATCAAAATATTTAAAAAGTCATTTAGGAAGTTGAAGGATCTCAAAATGAAATACACAACGTGAAAAAAATAATCTAACTATATTACAGATGTATAAAACAATCTCATTGAAGGGACTGGGGGAGGAAAAAGTTGACCTAAGTAACTTTGGAAGGGAGTGGAGTCTATGAGGCTAAAGGCAAAGAGAGCTCTACATAAAACTACACTCTACTTGATAAAGTTGTTTCCCATGGGTGTATGGGTTAACAATTCTGAAACCATTACATATACTGTACATACAGAGGAATTGGACAATTGAGTAAATGAACAGTAGATGGTGAGAACCAGGTTTCTCACTGTTAGAGTGGAATGATACAGATAAGCAAGGGAGAAGGCTGAAATGATCCATCTGGTAATCAATTAGAGTTGGAGATATCAAAATGAACTTATTAGCTTAATATAGATAGATATTGTTGCTTATATATTTATAAACATATGTACATATTTATGGCTAAGTATATATGTATACAGATTATAACATATTAATATGTCTCATTGCTCTGTCACCTGAGAAAGCCTAGAAGCAATGACACCCCAGTAGCAATGAGCAAACCTGGTACCTGTATCTTGTTTCTAACACCATCCTCCAATTTAGAAAAGTAACTCTTTGCAGAGTTGGCTGGTTCTAGGATGGGACACAAAATATACAAGATGTCTGGAGCATCTTCTGGTGCTAGAAAGTAAGGAAGTGCTTGGAAAAATCCCTACATTGGTGGGGGTATATTCAAAACACACAGAAGTCAACTGAAAGACTTCCCAATGGCCATAGCTGGAAAATTTTAGCAACAAAATAAAGTAGTATTGGATTGCCTTAGCTCAGGCTGCTATAACAAAATGTCATAAACTGGATGGCTTATAAACAACATAAATTTATTTCTTAAAGTTCTGGAGGCTGGGAAGTCCAAGATAAAGGTGCCAATAGATTTTTCTAAATTTTTTTATACTGAGATTTTCTTATTCGGAAGTAGGATCATTGGAGTCATTCTTCTTCTTTTTCTTTTTTTTAATCTTCTCTCTCATTTTTCATCTCTTTATCTTTTTGCTATATTTGCTGCAACAATGCCGCAACTTCATCTTTCAATGTTTTTATTTAGTTTTTGTTTATTTCTGTTATTATAATCTTAATGTCCAGGCATATTTTTCTTTTTTTCTCTGAATGTGCCTCTTTTGTAGCATGCTCTTTTGTCACTGAGGCAATATCTCTTATTATCCCTGAACAGTCTTTGTTTCCTACAAGGTGTTTGTCTTAGTCTGTTTGGGCTGCTGTAACAAAATACTGTAAACTGGGTAGCTTACAAACAATGGAAATTTATTGCTCACAGTTCTGAAGGTTAGGAAGTCAAGATCAAGGCACTGGCTGATTTGGTGTCTGGTAAGGACCTGCTTCCTTGTTTGTGGATGACTGTCATCATGCTGTGTCCTCACATGGCAGAACTACTGACTGAGGGAGTCTTCTGGGATCTCTTGTATAAGGTCATTAATCCCATTTCATGAATGGGCAGAGCCCTCATGACCTAATCACCTCCAAAAGGCTCTAACTCCTTATTTTAATTACATTGTGGGATTTCAGTATATACATTTGGGAAGGACACAAACATTTACTCTATAGCATGGATTATAACCCAAAGTGTGAAATAAATATCTATGAGTGTATAATGATTTTAATTAATTAATAGAGGAGAATAGACAAATCTCCCCTGGATAATAATTCCAAATAATTTGTGTAGATGTGCTACTTTTAAGGAGGTAGAACATAACCCACTCTTTAAGGTGTGAGCTGTGCATAGTGACTTTCTTCTAAAGGGAGAAAAAAAGGAGTAAATCAATGGTGGAGAAACCTGACAAACTGTACCTCAGCCAGCTATCAAGTTTAACTTCAACAGTGATTAAGTCATGTTGATAATAAGACTCCTTGATATAAAATGATGATAATGGCATTTGACCTCTGTGGTCTTCCTCCTAAAAACCCACAACCACGTTCTAATCACAAGAAAAACATCAGGTAAATACCAACTGGAGGACCTTCTACAAGATCCCTGACCAGTAATCCATAAGACTACCAAAAATCATCAAGTTAAAAGTAGAAAAGTCTAAGAAATTGTTACAACCAAAAAACAGCCTAAAAGACATGATGACTAATGTAATGGGGTATTTTGGATGGAATACTGAAACAGAAAAAGGACATTAGGGTAAGGCTGAAGAACTCTTAATAAAGTCTGAAGTTGAGCTGGTGATAACATATCAATTCTGGTTTATAATTATGACAAATGGACCAGGCGCAGTGGATCGTGCCTGTAATCCCAGCACTTTGGGAGGTCAAGGCAGGTGAATCACTTGTGGTCAGGAGTTTGAGACCAGCCTGGCCAACATGGCGAAACTCTGTCTCTACTAAAAGTATAAAAATTAGCTGGGCATGGTGGTGCGCGCCTAAAATTCCAGATGCTTGGGGGGGCAAAGGCATGAGAATCGTTTGAACCTGGGAGGCGGAGGTTGCAGTGAGCCGAGATCGTGCCACTGCACTGCAGCCTGGGTGACAGAGTGAACTTTGCCTCAAAAAAAAAAAAATTATGACCTAGGAATTATATTAATGTAAGATGATAGGAAAAATTGGGTGCAGCATATACGGGAACTCCTTATACATCTTTAAAACAATTCTGTAAATATAATTTCTAAAATAAAAGGTTATTTAAAAGTTTATTAGATTTTTCACACGGGTAATTTTTTCCAGTTTTCTTTTTTCCCCCTGCATGAAACCACCATATATTACCAATAAAATTATGCGTTCCATCTCTATCTGATCTCCATTCCTCTCTGCTAGAGGTAATTATTACCTTCCTTTAAAAATTAATCATAAAATTAGGTTTACACATATTTCTAGCTGCATAAAATATATTTTGTCCAGTTGCGCTTGTTCTTAGGCCTTATGAACATGAATAATCTCTTCACTCATCTGGGAAGTGCTTTTTCTTGTCAACATTGTTTCTAAGACACATTGTTTCTGTCCTACAAGTGAGACCCTTCCCTCCTCAGTCTGTAAGTTAAACATTCAGAAGGAATACAAACCGTGTGACTCATTTCAAATATATATTATGTCCCCTTTCAGCTATGTATTGTTCTTGTTTATCGTGGTGGCTCATATGGCTTTCAAAATGTAAAAATTCATATATTCCTATGAATTTCAATATTCCTACATACACTTTTTTTATGTGTATATTTTCTTTGTTATTGTGACTCTCCCCTCATCAAGATGTATAATCAATTTTTAACATTAATTTTGTTTATTTGTAAATAAATAAATCCCTGTGCATTCAAAAATATTTCTGAAAAAGTGCCTGGGGGGTGTGCGTGTGTGTGTGTGTGTGTGTGTGTGTGTATCTGTTAGGGGTTGGGAAGTTGACTTACATGTGTATGTAAAAGAGAGGATGTAAAACTGCTTTGTTAAACCTTAGGTGAAATAGGTGAGGATTTTTGGCTAATGGAGGCTTCCTTCATAAACATTTCTGTTTTTTTTTTCTGTATAAATGTAAGGGGTACAAGTGTGGTTTTGTTACGTGGATATTTTGCATAGTGGTGAAGTCTGGGCTTTTAGTGTAACCATTATTGTGCCTATCAAGTAATTTCTCATCCCTGATCTCTCTCCCCCATCCCACCTTTTGGAGTCTCCAATCTCTATTATTCCACTCTGTATGTCCACGTTTACAAGTTGCTTAGCTTCCACTTGTAAATGGGAACATGTGGTATTTGACTTTCTTAACTGAGTTGCTTCCTTAAGACAAGGTTATCCAGTTCCAACCAGGTTGCTGCAAAAGATTTTATTCTTTTTCCATGGCTAAATAGTATTTCATTGTATAGATATACTACATTTTCTTTATCCAGTCATCCACTGATAGACATTTAGGTTGATTATCCATCTTTGCTATTGTGAATAGTGTTGTGATAAACATGAGTGCAGTTATCTTTTCTATATAATAATTTATTTTCCTTTAAGTAGATACCTAGCACTGAGATACCTAGATTGAACTGTAGTTCTATAAGAAATATCCATACTATTTTCCACAGACGTTGTACTAATTTATATTCCCACCAACAGTGTATAATTGTTCCCTTTTCTCCACATCCTTGCCAACATCTGTTAATTTTGGACTTTTTAATAATAGCCATTCTGACTATTGTAAGATGATATCTCATTATGATTATAATTTGTATTTATCTGATAATTAGTGATGTTGAGCCTTTTTTATATGCTTGTTGGTCATTTGTGTGTCTTCTTTTGAAAAATATCTATTCATGTCCTCTGCCTACTTTTTAATGGTGTTATTTGTTATTGTTGTTGTTTTTTATTGTCTGTGTTCCTTGAAAATTCTGGACATCAGTCCCCTATTGTATGCATAGCTTGCAAATGTTTTCTCCCATTCTGCAGGTTGTTCACTCTGTTGATGACTTCTTTTGCTGTACAGAGCTTTTTAGTGTAATTAAGTCCCATTTGTCTATTTTTTTGTTGACTGTGCTTTTGAGGTCTTAGTCATTAATTATTTGCCTAGAACAATATTGAGATTAATTTTCTCTAGGTTTTCTTCTAGTACTTTTATAGTTTCAGGGCTCACATTTAAGTTTTTAGTCCATCTTGAACTGACTTTTGTATATGGTGAGAGATAGGGGTTCAGTTGCATTCTTGTGTATATGGCAATCCAATTTTCCCAGCACAATTTATTGAAAAGGGTGTTCTTTTGCAGGTGTAAGTTTTCGTCAACTTTGTCAAAGATCAATTGGCTGTAGATATGTGGCTTTATTTTTGGGTTGACATTACTTTGTAAGGCTGATATTCATTCACCTTATGACTAGAAATTCCACATCCAGGTATATGCTGTAGGAAACACTTGCTAATATGCATCAGGGTTTGTATTAGTCTGTTCTCACATTGTTAATAAAGACATACCTGAGACTGAGTAATTTATAAAGGAAAGAGGTTTAATTTACTCACAGTTCCACATGGCTGGGGAGGCCTTACAATCATGGTGGAAAGAGAAGATGGAGCAAAGCCACATCTTACATGGCGGCAGGCAAGAGAGCTTGTGCAGGGGAAATCCCATTTATAAAACCGTCAGATCTCATGAGACTTATTCACTATCATGAGAACAGCTTGGGAAAGACCTTCTCCCATGATTCAATTACCTCCCATGATAGGTGGGAATTATGGGAACCACAATTCAAGATGTGATTTGGGTGGGGACACAGCCAAGCCTTATCATGGTCCATGCACAAGAATATTGACACAAACACAATTAAAACAAATTTTTTTTTTAATTTTTGAGACCTAGTCTCACTCTGTCACCCAGGCTGGAATTCAGTGGCACAGTCTCGGCTCACCGCAACCTCTGCCTCCTGGGTTCAAGTGATTCTCCTGCCTCAGCCTCCTGAGTCACTGGGAGTACAGGCATGCACCACCATGACTAGCTAATTTTTTGTATTTTTAGTAGAGATGGTGTTTCACTATGTTGGCCAGGCTGGTCTTGAACTCCTGACCTCAGGTGATCTGCCCGCCTCGGCCACCCAGAGTGCTATGATTATAGGCATGAGCCACCACACCGGACCACAAACACAATTTGTAATATTCATTTAAGAACTAGTAACTAGGGTTATATCCGTTTAAGATAAACAAGTAATATCTATTTACAAACAGAGTTCTTAAATAACAAAAATAATATTTCATCTAAATACTCATTAAATTTTATTTTCATTGTTGAATAATATTTCATTGTGGGACTAAACCTAATGTTATTTAAACTAGTATAATATATGTAGGCATTACATCTAGTTTGTCGACATTATAATTTGTGCTTCTCTGAACATTCTTGTCCATGAACTCTGATGCATGTGAGCAAGTGTTTCCCATGGCACATATCTAGACGTAGAATTTCTGGTTATTAGGTGAATGAATATCAATCTTACAAAGTAATGTTAACTTGTTTCCCACAGTGGTTGTTTAAACTCACTCGTTTACTAGCCATGTCACTATTGATCCATACCTTCTAAAGTAGTTGATATTGTCAAAGTTTCTATTTATTGCTGGTAAAAATTAAACTGAAGCATGATACAATTTTAAAGCATTTATGTGAGCAAATGGCAATTCATGAATCAGTGCAGCTGCAAACCAGAAGTGTTTGGGAGGCTTCACTAAGGAAACACAAGGGAAGGCTTTCATAGGGCAAATGTGGAATTAAAGTAAAGAAAATATTGGATGAGTTACAGTTATACACTTGTTTCACTTGGTCTATCCTGCTGTAAGTTCCTAGTTATACAACTATAAGTTAGTAGCTTCTGATTTGTTAATCTTGTTTCATTTTTCTTTCATATAGGCATTCATCAGTAATAGCTCAAGTTTCACTTACGTTTGCAAATTAAGCAAGGTTAAGGTCAATTATGAGGCCTAACTGGCTTTGTTTGCTCAGCGACTCTTCGGGCCTGGTTTCCATTTTAATCCACTTTAACATTGTTTATGTACTAGGTTTAAAAAGGTATCTTGGTATGATATTAATCTGCATTTACCTGATCACTAGGGCAGTTGAACCTCACTCCGTGTTTATTGACCACATATGTTTTCATTATCTGAAATGCCTTTATATCTTTTGTACATATTTATATTAGATTGTCTCTTATTTGTAGAAGTTCCTTAAATAATTAATAAACACTGGTTGACTTATAGGTGTTCCAGATATTTTTTGGCCAGTTTATGGCTTTGCTTTTTTCATTTTTAATGGTATCTATTTATTTAAATGTTAAAAGATAAAAATTCTCAATTTTAATGTGATCCAACTGGGTATTTTTTTCTTATGGTAATCACTTTTTTCACAATGTCAAAGTCAGAAATATTTTATTTTTTTATAAAAAATTAAAAGTCTTGTAATTACCTTTGAATCAAAAATTTATCTTGGATTGGTAGTGTTCTATGGTGCAAGTTAGAGATCTGATTTTTCTTCCTTCTTCTTCCTTCCTTCCTTTTTTTTCTTCCCTTCCCACCTTCCCCTTCTCCCTCCATCCCTCCCTCCCTCCCTTCCTTCCTCCCTCCCTCCCTTCCTTCCTTCTTTCCTTCCTTTCTTCTTTCCTTTTCTTACTCCCTCTCTTTCTTCCTTTTTCCTTCTTTTCTTTTCTTTTTGGATTATTGTTGTTTTAGCATATGATTGTCTGTTATTTCTTCATTGATACATAATGCTATATTTGTCATACGTTGTTGTTTCTAATTTGCATTAGTGTTTCTGGGCTTTCTACTCATCTTACTATTTTCTCTAACTCTGTGCAATTATCACAATTTTAAATTATTAAAGACTCATAATTAGCCCTGACAGGGGCATCTGAAGGGCAATACCTTCCCTCCAAAATACCACTGCCATTTTTCATTTTAAGAGTCATGGCTATTCTTAGCTCTTTGCTCTCACATATAAAATTCACAATTATTTTGTTAAGCTTTATGAAAATGGGATATTGAGTCAAATTTATTTGAATCTAGAGATAAAATCTGTGGAATATTGACATCATCACAATATTGATTCTTCTAATCTATAAATATAGGATACATCTCCATTTATGTACATTTCTTCAGATTTTTAAACAGTTTTATAAGTTTATTTAACAAGCTCTTCCATATTTTGTTAAATACAATAATGTAACAGATTTCTTATAGTTTTTGAGGCTATTGTCAACATTGTCTTTTAAAAAATTACATTTTATGTTTACTGCTGATTTAAACAAATGCAATTTTTTGGTGTATTGATTTTATAGACTAAAAGTCTTCTTTCCTCCACTCTCTCAATCAAAATGTTAAATTGATATTTAACATTATCAATTGCAATGCAGGCATACTACTGGGGACTTTAAAGAATGCAAAGATAAGACACATAAACTGACAGGAAATTTATAACATATTTAGAAACAATCTAACCCGGATTTGGAATGTTTTGTTATTTTCATAATTCGCCATTATCCAAAGTCACTACTGAAAAATCATATTTATTTACATATTATTTTGCCTTATTATTACATGATTTAATCTGTTAGTCCTATTTGTGAACTTTTCTGAGTAAAGTCACCTTGTATTTTTTTAAACCTAGACTTTATTAGAAGAATAATAGAATATAAGCACTTGTTAGGCTATTAAGACACTATCAATGGATTAAGAAAATGCCACTGACCCAAGAAAAGATGAGAGGTCCTTGAGTTATTTGTACAGTTATGGGTATTGGTTTTAGCTGAGCCATTCCCATACCAAATATCTGCTAGGCTCTTTTTAAATCACTCATACTTTTATAATTGCAACAAGGCTGCCTGGGTTGAAGGCTGTGCTTTAGAATTATTGCTAATAACAGTAGGCCAAACATGAGCCCATGATGTGACCTCATAAAATTACTTCTATATGTTTAAACAGTTTTAGATTTGACTTTTCTCATTATAGTATATTAATTAAGTGCAGAAGATTTTGATTAGAGTTTTGCTCTGATTTCATCTTTGTAACTTCCTACTGGTTTTAAACTAACATTCTTGCAGCTGCATAACTACTTTCTTATGGTCGTTATGTTTGAAGGTTAACTACTTGGCAGGATATAAAATCCTTGATTCATATTTTCTTTTTTCTTTTCTTTTCTTTTCTTTTTTTTGAGGTAGAGTCTTGCTCTGTTGCCCAGGGTGGAGTTCAGTAGCACAGTCTCGGCTTACAACCTCCGCCTCCTAGGTTCAAGCAATTCTCCTGCCTCAGCCTCCCAAGTAGCTGGGATTACAGGCAGCCACCACCACTCCCAGCTTTTTTGTATTTTTAGTAGAGACAGGGTTTCACCATGTTGGCCAGCCCATTCTGGAACTCTTGACCTCAGGTGATCCACCCTCTTTGGCCTCTCAAAGTGCTGGGATCACAGGTGTGAGCCACCATGCCTGGCCGATTCATATTTTCTTCCCTTCGAGTATCACAAATATGTTGCACCAACTTGCCAGCCGTGTGATAAACCTTAGAAGTGGAAGCTCCAGTCCTGTTAAAATTTCAGATGACTGCAGTACTAGGTAACATCTTGAATTGCAACCTGATGAGAGACCTGGACCAGAGCCACCTAATGAAGCCACACCTGAATTCCTGAGCCATAGATATAATATGAGATAATAAACCTTTGTTTATTTAAGTCACTACATTTTGGGATAATATGTTACCAATAGCAAGTTTTCTAGGAAAAGACCATACCAGCAAGAGGGAGCATTTTCCACAAAGGTCTTGAGGCAAAAGCATGCACAATTTTTCTAGAAACAGCAAGGAAATCAGTATTGTTGAAGTAGAGTGGGCCATGAGGTTAGAGAGATGACTACACAGGTCTTATAGGCTATGGCCATAATTTTGGCCCTAATTTTAATGAGATGGGAAGCCTCTGGAGGATCTGGGACATGATTTCATTTGTGTCATTTTATTTATGACACTGGTCGCTTTGTGGATAATAGACTATAGAACAGACTACAGTGGGGGAATGATGGAAAGTGTGACACTAAAAACAGTAGACTTGTTTCTTGACTTTTCTTGTCCCTAGTTATATCTGAGTTTTAATTCCACAATTTGCTTTTGGATTACATAAAGTAACTTTTATTCTTATTTTTTTCTTAAGTTAGTTTGAGTTAGTTTGGGTTTGTAACTATGCAATCAAACAATCAATCATGAATGAAGTGTAATAAATTTCTGTTTATTTAAATAGATCATTAAAAAAGTTAAATGGCCTGCACAGTGGCTGATGCCTGTAATCCCAGAATTTTAGGAAGCCGAGGCGGACGGATCACTTGAGGCCAGGAATTCTTGAGTAGCCAGGCCCAGCATGGCAAAACCCCATCTCTACTAAAAATACAAAAATTAGCCTGGGTGGTGGCGGGTGCCTATAATCCCAGATACTTGGGAGGCCGAGGCAGGAGAATCGCTTGAACCTGGGAGGTGGAGGTTGCAGTGAGCCAAGATCGTGCCATTGCACTCCAGCCTGGGCGACAAGAGCGAAACTGTATCTCGAAATAATAAATAAGATAAAAGAAAAGTTAAATTTAATTTTGGGAAGAGATTAAGTGATAATCTCCAAAAGAGGCAATGTAGACGCTGGGGTCCACAAATACCAATTAACGTTTGGATTGGCAATGAATGCATAGAATACATATTTTGCTTTTAAGTTTTGGTGACACATATTTTAAAATGCGATTTTTCTTTTTGGAGTGCTATCATACACGTTGACATCAATTCTACTGGTTGATGTTTACATTGTTGGCTTTTATGGGTTTGACTTCCTTTTTTGTTTGATTTGAAACTCAATTTCATATAAATATTCTTTTTTTTTTCTTGAGACGGAGTCTCGCTCTGTCACCCAGGCTGGAGTGCAGTGGCGCGATCTCCGCTCACTGCAAGCTCCGCCTCCCGGGTTCACGCCATTCTCCTGCCTCAGCCTCTTGAGTAGCTGGGACTACAGGCGCTCGCCACCTCGCCCGGCTAATTTTTTGTATTTTTAGTAGAGATGGGGTTTCACCGTGTTAGCCAGGATGGTCTCGATCTCCTGACCTAGTGATCCGCACTCCTCGGCCTACCAAAGTGCTGAGATTACAGGCGTGAGCCATGGCGCCCGGCTTATATAAATAATTCTTAATTTGATTGATCAAACCACAGCATAATATTATTTTAATAAGTCAACTATGTAGACTACTATTCTTTCTAAAGAATAACTGACAATTAATGGGTGGTGAGGATTAAAATCTATTGTCACTTAAAATATTAACAGATCTAAATTTTTTTTTTTTTTTTTGAGACGGAGTCTCGCTCTGTCGCCCAGGCTGGAGTGCAGTGGTGCCATCTGGGCTCACTGCAAGCTCCGCCTCCCGGGTTCATGCCATTCTCCTGCCTCAGCCTCCCGAGTAGCTGGGACTACAGGCGCCCGCCACCACGCCTGGCTAATTCTTTTTAATTATTATTTTTACGAGAGGCGGGGTTTCACCTTGTTAGCCAGGATGGTCTCGATCTCCTGACCTCATGATCGGCCCACCTCAGCCTCCCAAAGTGTTGGGATTACAGGCGTGAGCCACCGCGCCCGGCCCTAACAGGTTTAAAATTTTAAGAAGAAATATACATTTTGTTTGCATATAAGTATTGATGTGTTGGTCAATATATGTGCTTAACCTGCCTATTAATTTTTCTACCATCTCTCTACATTTATTATGTGCATAAAATCTTTGACTTTTTAGTAATGTTATTAATGTAGAGTGTTTAAAATACCCTCCTGTACCTTGCTGGCATTTACTTTATGTTCACTTGCATTTACTGATGCTAAAATATTTTAGTAGACGATTCAGCAATCACAAATCTGCAAAGGTCAGAGAAAGCACAAAGAATTTTTCAATGGGATTGAACTCTCACATGTCACAGGGAGAAATTTGAATTATACAACTGTTTGCATTAAGATGGGTGTCTTTAGGATTATTATATTTGTGCCACAGGAAACTGTGTGAGACTATATATATGTGTATGTATGTGTATGCATATATATACACACACGTGTATATATGTGTATGTATATATATACATACACATATATGTCTCTCTTTATATATATGTGTACATATATGTATGATTCCACACACACTATATATGTAATATTTATATATATTTATAAAATGACATTTTAAGAAAGAAAGAAAAAAATCTTTACCCATGAAGAAGGACAGAGGAACTTACTTTTTTTTAAAATAGTGAGTTCTCTTCTTTATAATTTTTGTTGAAATATATTTTAATGAGTATCAAGGATAAAATAGCTAAAGAAAAGAATGAGATAATCAGGCAGGGTTTAATGTGGGAAACAAAAACTACTCTAGATATTTCAGCAAGATATTACTAACACAGGAGTTTAAATACTTTGCAAAATTGTTGAATGGGGTAAATCAGCAGTTTCCAGGCAGGGTTCTTGGAATGACTCTAATAATAATATAAAGCTGACAAACTAAGGGAACTATCATGTTTGATGTCACTACCCAAGTTGTACCAGTCTAGGTCTAAAGTTTTGGTCGCTTTGACACAGTCTGAACACAGGGAAATTAGAGCATGGGCACACAAAGGTGCAAACCAGGTATCAGAGCATATTCCTGAAAATGAATACTGGAACCTATTACAGAGAAACCATGACCTTCCACACTAGTGGTGACAGCCCAGAATCACAGGATTGCCTCTGCCTCATTTCCACTTTCCCATTTTTGTGGAAGTACATTAAATTAGTGAAATGAGCTACTTGAAAGTGCAGAAAATGTTAAGTTTTAGCTTTCCAACCTCTTCACGTACAAGGTGGATGAAATACAGGCTTAGTAAGCCAATGTAAGTATCAACCCCTGAGATTAAAACAATATTTTATTAATAGGACAAAATGCAAAAAAACACCAAAATACATCCTCAAAGTTATTTTAAATAAAGTCGAGCCAAAAACTGCAGAATGTAATTCTGACATACAGTAACTTAACTGGCATATAATAGAAGGTTAACACACATTTCTGGAATAATTTAATTCATTTATAAGTTATTAGAGAAATGAGGAGCAAAATGTCATAGATAAAAGGATAGCTCATTTTTAACATTCAATTTTAATATTTTGGTGATTTTAGAAAACTCTTATGGTTCTTGAAGTAGAGGGTAAGAAATATTTTTAAAGTTTTAAGACAATAGATGCTAAAGAAATAATTTCAAATGGAAATACAAAAATTTAATGTCAAAATGACATTACAAAACTAAAGCAGAAATTTTGGTCAACATGCTTTCATCATAGATGTATTTTTCCCAAGATATTAAGGAAATGGAGAATGGTTGACAATAAAATTGAGAGAAATCTAAGGATGTATAAAAAATAAAAATAAAACTGATAATTTCTCTGTGATTTTGTTATATTTTCTTACAGTTGTTCTTTTCCACAAGCATTTTTTTACTTTGAAATATCTTGTATTATAGCTTTGCATCCTGCATTTTCACATCGCAAAATGTTTAAGCATTTTTATAGTATTAATATTACACAAAATCAACAATACAGTAGCTGCATAGTAATTCTATTATGTACAAAATATAATTTATTTTGCTATTACTCTTGTCAACCTAAATAACAAGTAAAGAGGGGAGACTGTCTAAAAGAAAATGATATTTACTTGAGAATAAGCATTAGAATGGGACTATACAAGCCATAGTAAATTATGTGTGTATTTAAGAAGGTGAAGGAAGACAAAGATTTTTAAAGAAAAATGAGGAGGACTACATATTGTTTTGAGATAATAATTCTTGGCTTCAAGGATCAATAACAAGGGTGGTACCTGTTCAAGGTTGGACAGGATGTTGCTGGGCAGATGTCCTCTTCAACATATTTTGTGTGTGTGTGTGTGTGTAAGGTTGTGATGGCCTTTGTTGAGCAGAGTCTTTTGTAATAGCTCTCATCAGGAGTTTGTACATGAGAACCCTTTCTTCATGACCATCTCCAGCACCATTTTTCAATATTTTAACATGATTCTGTTTTGATTCTGACAATTTGCACACTCTTTTGACATCTATTTAGGTTTGTTGCAATTTTTTACCATTATAAAAATTCTCTCACAGTTTAATAAACTTTAATTTTATCTAAATCTGCAATTAGTGTAATATCTTTACAAATTCCCTTTCAAAGATTTCTTCCTAATATTTTTAAAGACTATGCTTTGTAAAACTTCATACCAAAACCAGACAAGGACACAACAACAACAACAAAAAGCAAGTCCAGGCATGGTGGCTCATGCCTGTAATCCCAATAATTTGGAGGCTGAGGTGGAGGGAGCACCTGAGGCCACGAATTTGAGACCAGACTGGGCCATACAGCAAGACCCCATCTCTGCAAAAACGGTTTTTAAACATTAATCAGGCGTGGTGTTGTGCACCTGTAGTCCCAGCTACTCAGGAGGCTGAGGCAGGTGGATTGCTTGAGCCCAGAAGGTTGAGACTGCAGGGAATCAAGATCATAGCACTGCACTCCAGCCTAGGTGATAGAGCAAAACTCTGTGAAAGACAGACAGACAGACAGACAGACAGAAAGAAAGAAAGAAAGAGCGAGAGAGAAAGAAAGAAGGAAAGAAAGAAAGAGAAAGAAAGAAAGAAAGAAAGAAAGAAAGAAAGAAAGAGGAAGGAAGGAAGGAAGGCAGAGAGGCAGAAAGGCGGGTGATATGTTAAAAGGATCACTAACCACGATCAAGTGGAATTCATCCCAGCAATGCAAGGATGGTTCAACATATACAAATCAATAAACAAATGTGATACAATTACATTAACAGAATCAAGAACAAAAGCCACATGATTTTTCAAGAGACCTCTTAATATTTTAATTAAAAAGTCAACAAAATTAAACATGCCTTTATGATAAGAACTCTCAACAAACTGGGCATAGAAGGAACATACCTCAAAACAAGAAAGGCCACAAACCTCCAGTTAACATCATACTGCATAGAGAAAAAATTGAAAGCCAGATTTCTCTAAGATCTGGAACAAGACAAAGATGTCCACTTTTATCATTTTGTTCATCATAATACTGGAAGTTTTAGCCAGAACAATTAGGCAAGAGAAAGAAGTAAATGGCATCCAAATTGGGAAGGAAGACGTCACATTTTCCTTGTTTGCAGACATGATGCTATATTTAGAAAAACACAAAGACTACCAAAAACCAGAACGGATGAACAAATTCAGTAAATTTGCAGGATACAAAATCAACATATAAAAATCAATAACAGCATTTATAAATGCAAACAGTGAACAAACTGGAAAAGGAATCAAGAAAGCAATCCCATTTACAATAACTGCAAAAATATGTAACATACCTAGCAGTAAATTCAACAGCAGAGGTGAAAGATCTCTACATGTAACACTATAAAATACTGATGAAAGAAATTGAAGAGGACACAAGTAAATGGAAAGATATGCTCACAGATTGGAATAATTAATATTGTTAGAATGTCAATACCATCTAAAGCAATCTACAAATTCAATGCAATCCATATCAAAATAACAATGATATTCTTCACAGAAATAGAAAAAAAAAAACCCTAAAATCTGTATAGAGCCACAGATGACCCCGAATACATAAAACAATACTGAGCAAAAAGAACAAATCTGGAGGCATCACACTAGCTGACTTCAAAATATGCTACAAAGCCATAGTAAACAAAGAGCATGATACTTTCATAAAAACAGACACATGGATCAATTGAATAGAATAAAGAATTCAGAAATGAAAATATGCATTTATAGCCAACTAATTTTCAACAAAGGTGCCAAGATCACACATTGAAGAAAGGACAATCTCTTTAATAAATGATGCTGGAAAATCTGGATAAGTATATGTAGATGAATGAAGCTACAACTGTATCTCTTTCCATATAAAAAATCAAATCAAAATGGATTAAAGACTTAAATCTAAAACTTACAATGTGTTGATCAGATCATCAATATCCCATATCACTAAAAGCTATTTATTTAAATTTGTCATAAGAAAGGAAAAAAATGGAATGTAAAGAGATATGCTGATCCAAGGTCCAAAGTAAAAGAAGTCAGAGATGTTATATTTTGGAACCTGAATATAAAATATATATATTTGAAGACTTGTTAAAGTGTTTTATGAAAACGAGAATACATTTTTCTAGGAGAAGTAGAACTGATATGGGATTATTGGTAGATAGTTTAAAACATTGATTCTACAGACAAATGCTAAATTCAGTCTTTGATTTTGACTTATGTAGAACTAAATTTCTTATATCAGGTAGTGACTTCAAACTTTCAAATGGTAAATTTACTCTCATTTTTCCTTTGTACTAACATATGGAAATTATTACCTTTTGTAATAATATTATATCTTTCACATATATTTTGGAAATGTGAAAAAAGCTAGCATTTATGAATGTGTGTAGGGGATGTTATAATGGCATTTGCATCTGCTCAGTTTTTCAAGATTAAATATGACTTTATATGGTTCTATATTTAAGTAGAAACCACATAATCATAACCCCTTGAATAATAATTTAAGATTGAAGATTTACAAACAGCTTTTCAATCATTACTCTCTTAATCTTTACAACTTGCTCTGAGGGCTTAATGTGGTAACTGTTAGCATTTCTGATTTATAGATGGAGAAAATGAAATAGGCAGGTGAGATTATTTATTTGTAATGGATATTGACTGAGCTGGGAATGAAGCCAGAACTCTTGCTCATTCTCCAGACCTGTAGCTTGGTTATGGAATCTAATTATTCATTATTTTAATTGAGTTACAATAACATAGCAAATTATCTGACACCTGACATTCTGTTAATTGGAACCACACATCTAAAGTTCTGTAGTCAATGAAGTTAACAATAGCATCTTTAACATAGTTTAAATCGAGGGCTTTATGAATCTAAACTAAATCCATTAATGTAAAACACTAAATGGTAATAATGCCATTATGCATATTTTACTTTATTATAATGGAAATTTGATAATCTTAGAATGCTTTATGGAAAAAATCTATCAAATTCATCTTTTCATTATATAGAATACTATGATCCATAGATACCACAAATCTATGTTGAATAATAGCTAGCTAGCTGTACTTGTGTTTTACTTAACATGCAACTTTAATTGTGATATAATATAAAAACCAAGTAATGGAAAGCTGTTATATGGGGTCTATAAGAGAACACCAGACATAGTGATATTTATCAGGGTATAGCATAGAACAAATATTGGGTATTGGCCAGTAGACAAGGCCTCTTGTGTCTAAAAAGCAGATAAAGACTTGCAGTATGGAGTAAAACAAAACTGATTCAAAATATAGATTGCAATCAGTCTTTGGAGGAACAGACAGCAAAACCCGTCTCTACAAAAAATATAAAAATTAGCCAGGCATGATGGTGCATGTCTGTAGTCCCAGCTACTTGGGAGGCTGAGGTGGGAGGATGGCTTGAGCCCGGGAGGCAGAGGTTGCAGTGAGCTGAGATTGTGCCACTGCACTTCAGCCTGGGCACAAGAGCCAGAACCTGTCTCAAAAAAAAAAAAAAATGAATTCATAAAATTCTAGATTTACAGATTTTCTATATATTTATTAGCATATTTATTGAAGATGCATGGGAAAGATCGAGCATTTCTCTTTGTAAGAAATACACATGTGAGAACCAAAGAAATTGCGAACCAAAGAAATTGTGATGATCTCTGAGCTGTATTTGGACACCAGGAGAGGTTGCTCTGATAAGATTTCTCAACAGCATTCTGAATACAATGAAGGTATCCATATTACTTTTACAGTAGTTTGTTTCTATGATTGTAGTTCACTTATTTCTTCAGTAATTTTTGTATATATTTGTAGGACTGATATATATGTATTAGAGTTAGTGCCACTGGATATATATATATACACATACATCAAACCCATAAAAAAAGTGCAAAATAAAGGAAATTTCCTTCTTGTTTGCCTACATTTGCCTTTGGTTTCACACTTAGTCTCCTGTGTTGATTTGGTTCCAAAGACTTTCAGGTTGCATTTCCTAAAACTTGGTACAGAGATTCTTCCTCATGCGTTTATTGTGGGAATGCTCTTGGGAGAGAGTGAAGGAAGCAGGATATGGTAGGGGAAGAATAATTTGGTCTTAGGGGTGTCTAGTCTCAACCCACAATGAAATTTGGAGGGAAATGTACAATAGATTTAGTAAACTAGAGGCAAGTGGAACATTCAATTCAGTCTTTGGCGAAGTTCGACTCCAGGGGCCTGGAGAGGAGTAAGGTTAGCTACCCAGTCAGATTGGCATTCATTTAGCTGAGGGAAGTTATTTAGACAGGGGAGTAGGTGGGAGTTATCAGCCAACACTTTAGCTGGGGAATAGGTACTGCTCACCTTAATGAGTATTTGGGCAGACATCAATAGTACCACTACAATCCTCTCCCTGCTCTACTCAGATCCACCTGCTGGTCACATTATGTTCTCTACATCCAGACACAGCTTCTCTAGTATTCTCATTTGTCAAAATTTCTGAGAAAACTGTTAAGAGCAGCATTAAATTACAGTTGCCATAGCTTCAGTTGATTTCAAGATAATAATTAATACTTAATATATCACTCTTCCATTAGATTCTTCCTCCCTTTGGCTAGCTTTTATACTGGTTTATATGTCTTGCCTAGGAGGCTAAATAAGACCCTTACCCATAAGTTGTCTGGTTCCTGGTTACTATGTCCTTTCAAGCCTTAGTAGCTGCATTTCTGCTTTTATAGCTATAACTGTGCATGCAAGTTATCAAGAGCCACCCAACTGATTGCTAAATATATTTCTCCCTGTCCCTATTATGTAGCAGCAGCCCTAAATCCTCATGAAGACCAGAATCAATTACCCCTGCTAGTATGGGAGCTCATTTATCTGCTCATGCTCTAACTGCATGAGGGGTACAAAATGACCAGGCAGCAGACATATTTTTATATCTAGAGGGACTGTAACTATGTATCCTTGCATAATAATACATGCTCTGGGAAACAGAAACTCTAGACTGGCAAAGCCTAAACCTGTGGGGACAGGAAACAAAAATTCCCTAAGTAAGTCTTTAGGAATAAGTGATGATGACCAGGACCACTCCTACATCCCCCTTTGATTACTAAACCCATGTTCTCTACCTATTGTGGATCAACGCCATAAAATGACAATTGGTATAAAATATATACCACATGGGGAGTGGTAGCACCCCATGCTTGTAGGGGATAGCATCTCCAAGCTGGCACCTCAGCTGTATCTATAAGAGGCTATTTCATTGCTCTCTTAGGCTGGTGGTTTCCAACTGTGCATTATGTGGTAGGACTAATTGATTTGATGGTTATATTTCTTTTTTAAGGTGAAGTTGATCCCTTGGTCTGAGGTGATAGTATTATGTAGGATATTAATATGTAGGATATTATATTAGGAGATGAAAACTCTGTGAAACCTTGGTAGTAGTGCTTGCTGAATCACTGTGAGGAAGAAAGGTGAACACATATCCAGAAGGTATATTAATTTTGATCACAAAAAAATGTTGCCCTTTTGAGGGTAGAAGGGGTTCAATGTCATCATTTATCCACCAAATGTCTGATTAGTTTCCTTGTGGGTGGGTACTATACTGGGGACTTAGCATTGGTCTCTCTCTGTTCCTGACAGGTTGGACATATTAACAGGAGGAAAAGTAGATTAGCCTTAGTGAGGGGGAGCCTATGCTGGTGGGCTCGTGCATAGCTTCACTCTCTATCACCATGGCTACTCCATTCATGACCCAAATGCCAAAGCCCTAAGGTGGCTACAGTGACTGGATGTTTAATTCTGTTGGTATAGGGGCTTCTTTCTGGTGTATATTAATGTGTTTTATACAAATATCTCACTTTTGCAGCTACTCCTGCAGCTTCATCCCCATGCCTCTAATCCTTAACTTGATTTTGCAGTTTTACGGAAGGAATTTCCTGAAATTCCTTCCAGGATTTGACTAACTCGGATTAGTCAGAAAAAAAAAATAAAAATAAAAATAAATAAATTACTTGAAAGACACAAACTACCAAAGCTTACTCAAGAAGAAAGGGATAACTCAAATAGTCCTACATTTACTAAATAAGTAAATTTTTTAGTTAGAAAACCTGTCAAAAAAAGCTCTAGGCATAAGTGGCTTCTCTTGTGAATTAGGCCAAATGTTTAAGAGAGAAAACATACCAATTTTACTAAAAACTCTTCCAGAAAATTGAAGAAGAAAGAATACTTTCCAACTTATTCTATGAAGTCAGTATTTCCCTGAGACCAAAACTGGACAAAAATATTACAAAATAAAATTTCAAATTACTGTCATTCAGGGACATAGATAGAAATATTCTAAACAATATTTTAGCAAATATAATTTAACTATGCAGAAAATAAAGTTTATGATCAAGTGTGTTTATCATAGGAATGTGAAGTGTTTAAAATAAAAAAATATCAGTGTAATTTGCTACATTTAAAAACTAAAACGAAACAAAATAAAAGCCCAATAGATAGTGACAATTCATTCCATAAAATCAAACAGTCATTCCAGGGGAAAACCCTCAGCAAACTAAGTGTAGAAGATAAATTCCTCAACCTGTTAAGGAATATTTACAAAAATCTTACAATGAACGTCACACATAATAGTGAAAAACGGAATGCTTACTCTCAAAATCAGAAAGAAAGATGAGGAGTTCCACACTCAACACTTTGGCTCAATATTGTACTAGAAGTAATGGCCAATGCAATTAGTTAAAAAAAGAGAAAGAGAGATAAAAGGCATCTAGTCTGAACAAGAATCTAACAAAAGTCTTTATTTACAAACGACATAATTGAAGCAGGATATTTCCCTGACCTTTCGTGGGACTTGTGACAGGGGTGACTTGTTTACCCAGCCTGCAGTTTTCAATTCCTTGCGGGAGGGAGTACACAAGTGAACGGGGCAGGAGCTGGAGTGTGGGAATTTTGGAAGCAGCCAGCCACTATGGCAGGGGCAAACTCCACTCACCTGCACCTGATGCATTCCACCACTTGCAGGAGGGAGTGTGCAGGTGAGCAGGTGCAGGAGCTGAGGAGAGCACTTTTGGGTGCAAGCAGGAGCAAAACTCCATGCGGACCCACAACCTCTGAAGCCACAGAAGAAGTGTTACAGTGCTCTTTTAGCTCTGCCATTCTGCTGATGACTTAAGTGTTAACTTAAGTGTTAAGTGGGCCTCTGTCTTTTATATTGGCACTTGTGACTTCCAAGCTTTTGTCCGGTGTCCAGGAGAAATAAGGTTGGATGAACAAATTGAAGGATGGTAAATGTGGGGGATTTTATTTCTGATGAAAGTGGCTAATAGCCAGAAGGAGAGCTGACAAGGAGATGGGGTGAGAAGGTAATCTTCTCCTGAATTCCAGCCATCTCCGGCTGGGTTCTTCTCCGAAGTTACACCATCATGCTGGCCCTCTGAGATCAAGCTGCTTCTCTCTGACATCCAGCCATAGTCTCTGATGTCAAGCTACTTCTCCTCTCTCTGCCTGCTGAGTATAGGGTTTTCATAGCCACAGGATGGGGCGGGGTGGGGCCAGGGCCATGGGTAGTTTTGGAAAAAGCAATATTTGGGTGGGAAAACAGGGAATAAGTTCCCATTTCAGGCCATGGTTTCAGGCTTGAGGGTGGGGTTTTGCCAGGGACCCACCGCTGTCTGCCTAGAATTTCTCTACCTCCTGTCCTGATCATAATTGTCTATGTGGAAATCTAATGAATGTGTTAAAATGCTACTAGAATTAGTAAATGAATTTAACAAAATTGTACAATATAGGATCAATATATAAATGTTAAATGTATTTCTACAAACTAGCAATAAAAATTGATAATTAAAATTTATAACACAAGACCATTTGTAATATCATCAAATACATAAAATTCTTAGAAATATTTGAAAAGAAATTTGAAACACCTATTCACTGAAAACCACAAAAAGTTGAGAAAAATTAAAGGGAACCTAAATAAATGGATACATAAACTATATTCATGGATTTGAAGGCTCAATATTACCAACATGTTAATTTCCTTCAATTTAATTTACAGATTCAATGTGTTCCCTACAAAAATATAAGCAGCCTTTTCCAGGGAAATAAATTGACAAGCTGATCCTAAGATTCAGATAGAAATACAAAGAATCTAGACTTGCCAAAATAAATTTGAAAAAAAAAAAATGAGTTACAGGATTTATGATAACTGACTTCAAGACCTGTGCTATGTTTTGAATTTTTTTCCCTTTCAAAACTCATATATTGGAAATTCAATCCCCAATGTGTTATTATTGGGTGGTTGGGCCTTTGGGGGAAATGTTTAGGTCATGAAGGCTCTCCTTTGAAGAAAGGATGAATATCACTTTATAAAATAGGCTTGTGGGAGTGGATTCCCCTTTCCTGCTCTTTTGCCATTTGAGGATACAACATTTCTCCTCCTGGAAGAGGCAGCACAGAGACCAAATCTGCTAGAACCTTGACTTTGGACTTCACAGCCTCCAGAACCATAAGATATTCTGTTACAGCAGCACAAAACAGGCTAGGACAACCTACTGTAAAGCTACAGTATCAAGACAGTGTGAAATTTGCCTAAAGATAGGCAGGTGGGTCAACAAACTGGCTAGAAAGCTTAGAAATAGGTCTATACACCCATAGTCAATTGATATTTGGCAGAAGTACAAAGACAACTCTGTGGAAAAAGAGACAGCTTTTTAACAAATAATGTTAGAACAACTATTCATATGCAAGAAATTGAATATTGATCCACATCTTGCATAATGTACAAAAATTAACTCAAAATGTATCATAGAACTAAATGTAAAACACAATGACATTAATCTTCCAGAAGAAAGCTAATAGAAAATCTTTCTAATTTTGGGTTTGGCAAATACTTCCTAGATACAATATTAAAAGCATGAACCATACAAGAAAATATTTACGAATTAGACTATCAAAATTGAGGACTTCTGATTTTGAAAGACATTGCTAAAAGAATGAAACAAAAAAGCCAGAGACTGAGATAAGTGTTTATAGATTACATATCTGATAAAAGACTTGTAACCAGGGCATATGAAGAACTCTCACAACTAAAATTTAAAAAAATAAAATAAAAGGGCGTATTGTCTAACGTCCACTTTCTAGGCAACTGAACTCCATAAGTTTATAAATTTCTGGTATGGTAATAATTAGCAATCTAGGCAAAATGGGAATATTATGCTAAAAGCCCCATGGATCAGAAATTTAGCTATTTTTCAGATAGTAAATGCCATTAGAACATATACAAGGCTGTCTGTCCAAGGCAAAATTGACTTAAGACCTGATTTCTCAATCTTTTTGTCATTACTACCCATCTACAGAAACTTTTTATACATTTTTTCTAAACGTAACCCATGAAATTTTTATGCCGCAATTTTTATTATCTTGTATACTATTTGTACTTTATACATAAGAAGTAAGATTTTTTTTTGCCCTAAGAATTTATCCCTTCCCCAGTTGAGAATCTGATGGTTTGAATACCTCTGAGGAGATAGTTTCAGACCTCCTGTGAAATCTGTCCTTCCCAGGCCATCCTCTGACCTGCATCCGTTTCTCCTTGCTTCATGTTTCTCAGGAATCTCTTTTTAAAGTCTTACAAAAATTTCTGCAGTTTTTAACACAAATATATAAATCTATGACTATCCCAATAATTACCAGAATGTGAATCATCAATAGAGAGTTGAAATTATCTTTATAATATATGTTAATTATGACCATATCCCCCGTTGATACTCTCTTCCTAGTTTTCAGTCATCAAAAGTGATTTGAACTTCTTTATATGTACCTATTAAAGTGTGTGTATAATTTTTTACACATTTATTTCCTTTTCACCAAGTCATTTTTCAGAGGTATTCTATCAGTGGCAGGCTTCAAATCAGTATTTTGTGTCCTGGGGATTACCAACTGATTTTCAGTTAATTCTATTAGTAAAAACAAAAACCACTTGACTGCATCAGAGGGATTAACATAATGTTTGACATAATATGCAGCTGTTTGGAGTAAGACTTTCAGGTTGTCCGGAGACAACACAGTATAGAGTCTTTCATTGGTTCAGTTCTGACGCCAGTGACTCACTCTTGAGCAACAGAATGTGGTAGATGTAAAACTCTGTGATTCCTAAGGCTATTTCATAAGAAGCCTTGAAGCTTTCACCTGAAATGCTCACACTGGGGAAAGTCAACCTCATGTATAATGTCTGACTATCTTGAGACCATCATGCTATGAGAGAGCCTGAGTTAGCTACGTATAGCTATCCTGCAGAGAGAGACCCCCAGATAGCTCCTATCTATTCTATCCATCCCAGCTAAGGTGCTAGCTACGGTAGTAAAATTTTTTCTTAAGCATGCAGCCCCATCTAGTCTTCAAAAGACACCAGCCTCAGCCACCAATTGATTATAACCACCTACGAGACCCACATTAGAACTTCATAGCTGAGCCCAGTCAGCCCTCAGAACCACTGGAGATAAGCATTGATGTTGAAGTGCCTGTGTTTTGGGGTGGTTTATTATGCAGTAATAGATAACTGAAACACTGGGAGAGATGATAAGTCCTCACTTAGTACTGATAACGGGTATGGTGTTCTGTTAGCTTGATTATACTTCTATCCCACTCACAAATCACTTCATTTTCTTTCCACATTTACTATTGGCCTCCTTGTAATGCAGTATGAATTTGTATTAGCAGCTCTTTTTATCACAATAATGAGCCTTCAGAAAGGATATTTTTGCCGGACCCGGTTATCAGTGACCACTTTCTAATATTCCCATGTCATGTCTGGCTAGATGGGGATGCATGCTGATTGGGCCACCATATATGTTGTTACTCTCAGGCATTTGTAGCATGGGCACAATTTAGGTACATAATAAACGCCCAAAATATTGGGTGTTTCATAAAACTTCAAATGGGCATGTTGTTCTATGGTATATAACTATGTTATTCCTATTTCTCATTCTCCTCAGGGCTCTCTTGGTTCTATTTCTACTTTCCCGAAAGTTATTCAGTCTACATTCACATTTGATATGGTCAGAAGGGAAAAGCTAGCTCTGGCACACGAGGCAGCCAAGAGCAATGTGCTTCTTATAATTCCCAGGCAACTCCTTTAGCAGTGTGCTGCCATCTTGATTAACTGACACACGGTGCGCAGATGCTAAACTGTTCATGAACCCATGCTTTGTGTAATTCACAGGCAATTTAGTTCTCTGGTTATCTGAAAAAGAACCAAGTAGTAAATACAGTCTATAAATAGTAAAATGGTAGCTACAATTAATTAGCAGTTCTAATTGGCTATTGGTCAGTTGAGTCACCAGGGGGCACTGTATTACATCTTTTTCGAAATTATTCAGGTGGAGTCCAAACAAGAGCTAGTAAATAAGCATGAATTTTATTTTTCTTCTCTGCAGAAAACAGATCAGGTGATTTCTCCCAGCATTGGCCATTCATCAAAATATAATCTGACAGAAATGGCTGAGAGTATTATTCTCTTGTTCCAAGATGCTCTTGTGGGAATAATATTATCACTTCCTTTCCTGGAGTTTTGATTCATTTGTGCCTCCTTTCTACTTGCCATAATCTTTATTGCTTCCCGTTATTACCCATTTTATCCTAAACCTTCTTCCCTGGTGGGATAATTTGATTCAACAGTACCACTTACTCAAAAATCAGACTGTAACATCTGCTATGCCAAGGCCTCTTCACGGCACTGTTGAACAAAAGGAGTCATTTCTCAAAAGGTATATCAGATAGGGGCCAAAGACTTTGGCTCCTTCAAGCTTTGCTGAGAATTACTCATATGAGGCAGATTGATTAATAGGAGGAAAGGTATACAAATTAATTTAATGTCTATACACAGAATGATATCTTCAGAATGAAGACACAAAGACACAGGGGAAATGGCCCATTTTAATGCTTAGCTTCAACAAAGTATAGACAGCCATGTAGAAATATGATTGGACAAAAAGATATGCTCTAATGCTAACAGATTGAGTGAGGGAAGCCCAGTGAGGCTTGTCAGTCTAGAATCTTCTTGACCTCTGTGAGCATGCATTCCTTCCTTCCGGGTGTGGGGCAGGACTTCTCTGGAATGGGGGTCTTATGACCCACAGTCAAAAAAGATAGGTCAGATCATCTTTTTATGGCCAAGTTTTACATAGATAGGACAGAGGGAAAGGTAGAGTAATATTTTTAGGTTTTATGACTGGCTTTGGGGTAAAAGAGGTTCTTGTTTCTATGACCCACCTTCTGGAAGAGGGATTCTAGTTTCTATCGCTAGCCTCAGGGAGAATGGGACTGAGAGAGAGGGGAACAGGAGAAGGTCAGGGAAATACTCTTGTTTCTGAGGTGGCTACTGAGGCCTTCATTTTGGGGTATTGCTTTCTGAGCCCCAATGTAATCTCCCTCTGAAGATGTCAAGTCCTTCTTGGGAACTCCAGTGGTCTGAATTTGGATTCTCCCACTGAGATTTAATATAAATTCCTCATGTTGTACCTTTCCCATTAATATATTCTAATACCTTAGGGTCTTCTGGATGTATTGCCCAAGGGCAGGGCTGCTTGTTCTGCAGCCTGGACTTACTGCAGGGACCTTTCCTGCTCTAGGGTAAATTGAAAGCCAACATCTTTTTGTATCATTGGGATATGAGACAGAGCCATCAGAAGTTCAAGACCAGCCTGGTCAAGATGGTGAAACCCTATCTCTACTAAAAACTACAAAAAAATTAGCCGGGTGTGGTGGCAGGCACCTGTAATCCCAGCTACTCAGGAGGCTGAGGCAGAAGAATTGCTTGAACCTGGGCGGCAGAGGTTGCAGTGAGCTGAGATCACACCACTGCACTCCAGCCTGGGTGACAGAGTGAGACTCCATCTCAAAAAAAAAAAAAAAAAAAAAGAATATGTTATCCCCAAAATGCAAAGACACCTGTAGGGTATTGTACTATCTTCTTCATTGCGAGTAAGACAAGATTAAATAACTTAACTGTTACCTTGGATGAGATATACCTGCTTGTTTCTAAACACCAGTCCTTGGAAAGTTTTATTCATATGGTGGACCCCTGAATCTTTATGGGATTTATCTCACTCCCTCTGAAGCATGACTGTCCTACCAAGGCCTCTCATATGCTCCTCTGGCCCAATTAGCATGATGTTATTTATGTACATCATGGATGTGATGGTTTCCGAAATGTTCTGATGATCCAGATCTCTTTATGCTGTCTTTCAACAGAAGCTAGGAGAGTTTACATAGCTATGGGGCAACTATAAACATATAATTTTATTTATTCCATGTTCATGTGAATTATGTATGATCCTCTTTTATAACAGGTAAAGGGAAGAATGCATCTGCCAAATCCAGGGTTGCATGTCACATACTGGAGACCATATTACTTTGCTCCGGTAAGAGCACTCTATCTCTCAAGGTGGCTGAAATCGGCACTACTATACCTGTGAGTTCGTGGTAGTCTACTGTGACTCCGCTGCATCTGTCTGATTTCAGGAGCCAGGCTGGTGAATTAAATTGAGATATGATGAAGATTACTGCCCTTGTACCCTTTAGAACAGGGTTTGGTAAACTTTTTTTGAAAAGGCACATATAACAAATAGTTTAAGCATTTCAGGTTATATTATCTCTATTGCAACAATTCATCTCTGCTGTTGTCATGTGAAAGCAGCTATAACATATAACACGTAAACAGATGGACTCCAGTAAAACTTTACTTACAAAAAACAGATGGTGAGATGGATTTAGCATATGGGTCATAGTTTGCCAACTCTTGTTTTAGATCCTTAAAGGTGGTACTATTTTCCACTATCCACTCAGGATGCAATATTGTTTTTGTCATTCTCTTGGCTTATTCGTATAAAGATGTTTCAGTGTTATCTGCTTAGCCTTCTCCATCTGATAACCCATACCCCTCGGGACAAGGACCTAATGTGAAGTTTCAGCTCACAGCCAAATATATCTATCCAAATTATATATTAGAGACTTGGAAAATAACTAAATGAGTGAGTCTGTCGGCACAGTGATCTATTTGGGACTCAGACTCCTTTTCAATTAATGGCTTTCAGATCTAACAGCTTGTTCAAGGGATCATGACATGTTATTGGGCGCCCTCAGCTTTCTGATCATTCATTCCTGGTTTATTCTGATGATACAAATTAAATAGTTTTTGGTTGCCCGTGTTTCTAGTTTGTCCCTAAAAACATTGTGTTTATTAATTTTCTGCACAACTATTTGCAGGTCAGATCTCGCCTGCTTTTCCTACCTTGCTTTACTGGGAAAATTGGATCCACATTTCCTCTACTGTTTTATTTTTTTATTTTATTTTTTAATACTTTAAGTTTTAGGGTATATGTGCACAACGTGCAGGTTTGTTGCATGTGTATACATGTGCCATGTTAGTTAGTATCCTACCATTGCCTTTATTATTAGAGATACTAGTTCTATAGAGGTTTGCTTCTCCCATTGACAGCCCTGACCTAGGAAAGAGAGCCCACACTGAACTTAGTGATGCTGGTCCTCCTCTAGTCTGGATATTGTTAAAATTTTAGTAAATGGCATATACTCTGGACCTTGCAGTGGAACATAATTATTTGGTGATTCTTCCAGCCTAAGATAGACGACCAACTCCAGCAGGACCATTTCTCTGTGCCCTTTAATCCTTTCCTACGTCATTGCCTCTGCACTTCTGACATCTCAACCTCATTTAGCAAGGGCTATCTCTTTTTCCATAACTCTAGGAACCTTCCTGCTAGGGACTTCTCACCATATCTTATGGGTGTTCTTGCTAGGATGTTGAATTCTGATACTTCAGGAGGTTGCGCCCAAATCAAAAAACTCTCCTTACTCAATCTTGTTTTCCCTCTCCTTTGATCAGTAATTCTCAGAATCTGCTCCATTTATATTCTCTTGGGTTCTTGCTGGTACAGGTTAGGTAGGTCTTTCACCTGGGTTCTGCTGTGACGTAAGCTTTTATTATAAGCCTAGTGTTTAGCAGGGGAGATAAGCGATGATATCAAAAGGAGAGGGGGCTGCACAAGAAGGAAGTGCTTGTTGTGAAGATGGAGGAGTTGGCAACTTCTGCAGGCTCAGACAGTCTGGAGATTAGTGGGTCTGGTCCTCAGTTTTCTATTTTATCTTCCTTGTTCGTACGCTACCAGGAAGGCTCTCTGGCTTTCACATTTGGCTTTCAATTACATGTTAATCACTCTAAGTTTTTTCATGATGTTTTCTGAAAATGTCAATAGAGTGGGCACTATCCATACAAATCCTTTAGTTACAATTTCCCTCACATGTGTCAATACCTGATAAATGTCAACTATGAATTTCTTTACTCAAGTATACAATTCCAATTCACTATTGACAAAAGACTTATCGATTAGATTGCCATCAGTCTACTAATTTGTTCTCCACCTACAATTAGTGATTAGGGCCTAATTACTAACTAGGTTATCACAGATGATTGATGCTCCTGCAAAGCTCCTCTTCTGATATGATCATAGGTAGCATTCTCTGATAAGCAGATTCTGGATGGATTTTACCACTTATTGCATTTATTAGGGAATGTCCTTGGGATCAATATCTATGGAAAGAAGAGGAAGGAAGCAGAATTGGTCATAATGAGAAGTCAAGCTGTGATACAAGACAAGAATACATTTGGCCAACCTCACAGTGACCTGTGCAACTAAACTGGACTGTCAGAATTTACCAAATTGGGCCAAAATGACCAGACATTCATATGCCAGCCTTGATCACTCATTGCTTGTGGGCCTCCCTGGGAAGTGTGACGCTATTACTGAGGCAGCTCTTTATAGCTGAGGCAATTCCTGCAGATAACACTTCAGTAGATGTGTGGCACATCCAGCACAGGAGTCAATCTCCTTTAACATAAACTTATACACCCCTGGGGTTACCCATAAGGGTCTGATATGGTCCACTTGCAAGGTTTGTTTAGACCTTTGTCCTCAGGGACCTCTTCAGTGAACTAAGCAGCCTTTTTTTACCTTGGTTGGGATAGAATCAGAATTCAGACTGCAGAGTGATGGGAATAGCTAAAACCTCAGTGACTTCTATCATCGGCAATGAAGCAACATGTTTATTCACATCAGCCCTGTTGCAAGTTCTTAAATGTACCATTTGTATTTTAACAATGGGCTCTGTTCTTCTCTTTGTTTCTTTTTTTTCTAATTTTTAAAATTTGTTTAACGATGGGGTCTTGCTCTGTCACCCAGGATGCAATGCAATCACAGCTTGCTGCTGCATCAAACTCTGCCTCCCAAGTAGCTGGGACTACAGATGTGTGCCACCAGGCTGGGCTAATTTATTTTTATTTTTGTAAAGATGGAGGTCTCACTATATTGCCCAGGCTGGTCTTGAACTCCTGACTTCAAGCAATCCTCTAGCCTTGGCCTCCCAAACTGTTGAGATTACAGGTGTGAATTACCATACCTGGCCTCTCTGTTTCTATACTGTTTCTCTGATGTTATTCAAGACTTGATAGGTCATTTTAACCTCAGGATTGTCTGATGTCCTTCTACAGTGGGAGCAGTCCTAACAAAACCCAGCTAGCTATGCTCCTTCATAAGGACTATATGAAGAACCTCGATCAGGTTGCTTTTGAATCCAAAACTCCAGCAATTTCCAATGAAGACCAGTATTCAGTTTCTGCCATGTGTTCCAAATGTCATGTGATGTATTTGCAGACACTTTAAAAATCAACTGAGCATTGATGTAAAAGATTTGAGGAATAATGCCTGGGACACAAGCATTTGTAAATTTTTTAACGTATTTTTCTTCTCAGGGTTTCATCCAAGGGGGATTTCTTAATTTAATCTCTGCTAGCTAGCCTACTGTCAGACCCCATGTTGGTCCCAAGACTGCCTTGTTTGTAGGTCAGATGGGACTGTTTAAAAAGGAGTTAAAGGAAATTCATACTCTAGTTTCAGTAATTTCCATATTTAAAGTAGTAATTTCTTGCTGCCCTCCTAGAGTTCTATAGTGCTTGATATTTATTACCAAGGAGGGCTCAAGCAATACCAAGTTTCTCCATCGGTTAAATTGGACCAATGCCCAATTTAAACCTGGTAAACGGCAGACTTTGATATATCTTATTTGATAAGGCATATCTAGCATTCCTATTCTGAATGGAATAAGCAGATCTAAATTTTTCCAAGCCAGGATATATAAAGTAAATCTGGTAGGGCTCTTTTGAGGCATAAGAGTCAAGGATAGATTTGAAGATGCTTTCTTAGCTCCCAAGGGTTGATAATGTGTTATGAATCCTCTAGTAAGAATCCTTTCAATTTCCCGCTTTTTCTTTCCGTTCTTCAACAGCCTTCTAAAAAGCCCACCCAGTTAAGCTGATTTTTGTTCTCTTTTTCCTCTTTCACCCCATGCTTAGTATCACCTTTACTTTGGGTAGGACAAGTCTTCCCATCACTAAGTTCCTTTAGTGAAATCAGGTCTAATAAATCATATTCTGTCATCTGAATAATTTCCTGGCCTCCAAGAACATGCCTATATAAGATATCTGGGACTGGAGAATTTTCTTTCACAGCTAGTATTATAATCAGTTACCAGCATTAAATTAGGTTTCCACTTTTGATCATCATGCAACCAACCTAAGAACACCTGTACTCACATATTCCTGTGCTTTGGAAGGAGTGTTCTATGTCTTAGTCAGGGAAGGAGTGGGTCTATATGGTGTTATATTCTCAAAGTAAGTCTTCCCAACTTTACCCACTGCATCAAGTTAGTTGTCAAACCATCATGATGGGGCTGGTCACAAATGTGTGCAGACCATTGCTTATCTGTGGTAAACCCAAGTAATTTCTTCTATTCAGCAGAATCTAGAATTATTGGTGCGGTCCCCTAGTCATTTATTCTGGGGATCTACGTAACCAAGTTTCATTAGTCTTCTGCAGAACTTCTCCATGAAGTAGCCTAGCTCTTTATTTAATAGACAGCCTACCCTGTGGATGTCCCTGACATCTGGCCATGGCCCTTGACTCCCACTGTAGTCTTTTTTGGTGATCAATGATAATAAGCAAATTACTTTGTAGATGAATATAATATCTAACCAGGTAGCCATAGTAACATGAAAATGCTTTTCGGGTAACTAGGGAAAAAATGGTTTAATTTCTTTCTGTTCCACATTTCTAGTTAACCCTTTAGAGATTTCATTTTCATCAGTGATGCCAGTAGTAGCTTAGAGTTCTCTCTCTAATCCACTTAGCTAATTTCCCTAGGGCTATTTCCACCAATGCCAGTTGGTAAGACTTGTCCCAAGAATCTTCTACAAGGCTCTTGGCCCTTCTTCTCAAGGATTTGTTGGGAGCCATCTTGACCCCAAATTCTCATGAAATGTTTCTTTCCCTTCTATTTTCATAAATATGTCCTGGGTTTGAAAGATAATCTAGACACTGCTACAAATTTTTGCCATACATGTTGAATTGCCAAAGCAGAGATATGAATCAAAAATCTTGGTCAACACCAAAGTTTCTAATATTTTGCAAATTATACAAGCAAGTTACAAGAGCCATGTGGAGAAAATGAGTTACGGACTTGCTGTTCTTTTCTTCTACTAGGCTATTGTTCTGTTCCACCTCAGTCTACTTCCTTTAGGTAGCTCTTGAGATCCAGACCTATGACAAAGTCAGCCTTTCCCCAGATCCTGTACTAGCAGCTGCCCTCACACTCCTCACTGTGTCCTGAGGATTCTCATGTATTTCATGGGGATTGGCTACTTTCCGATTAAGTCGCGCATATAAATTCTCTGTCTGAGGCCACTCTTATTTAGCATTGCTATAGGACCTCAGCATCTATTTTCCTGATTCCTGACTTTGGATCTTGTTCATCAGGATTCATGGCAGAGAAAAGAAATCACTCAATGTTTTCAAGCAGAAAATAATTCAATACCAGAATTAAGGTGCTTGCAAAATTGTGTTAGAGGATAAGTCAGCGGTCAAAAAATGCTACTGCCATCCAGTGATCAGGAAAGTTCTGCTGTAATAGTTACCACCACTACCAACCTCACAGCAGCCTCTCACCTACATTTATTTTCAAAGAAGCTGGGCCCAGCAGATAGAATAGCTGCTGTGTCCTGCTTATTTGCCTGCTCCAATAAAATAATGAAGAATAACTCCTACCCTTTCTATTTTCCAAACTTGAATGAGTACATCTCAATGGTAGGAGCTAATCTCATCCAGACAACTAATCACAAGGGCATCTGGAAATGAGTTTTTAGCCATATTGTCTGCATAAAATATGAAGGGGGTAGAACATTCCATTGAGTGACAGATAGCAATACCTAAAACAAATTTGTTAACTTTCCCAGTTAAAAAAGCTCATCTTACAGTGTCACATTCTGAGTCCACACATCTGAAATAATGAGTTCCTTCTGCCTCCTCTCAGCATTTCCTTGTCATTTCTTTTCAGTAATTCATGGCCTTTAAGAAGTAGCAGCTAGCTATTTATAATTTTAAAAATTAATGATAATAGATTAATATTTTCACTACTGGTGAAAAAATAATTTGCATTATTACCGAGGCCTTCTGGAATCGTTAGCTTAACTTTAACAATGACTCTATTGGGAGTTTCAGGTTCCATGCCAGCTGACATGGGAAACATGTTCATTTAGCGAGATTTTGGAGCCTCTCAGCTTAGGCCACCCATAAAGCTTGCCCTTTTTGCCTCTGTCCCTAGAGCTGGCCCTAATCTATTATAATGCAGTATAAATCAATTTATTTTATGATCATGAAATTATGAGCAATATTTTTCTATTCTGAAAATAACAATGTGCCAAATAAAATAAATTAAAATTTTCAGTATTTCTGGAGGACTAGAGTGGATTATTATTTTTAAGAATGATTATAAAAATATCCATTTCAAAAGTGACAAAAACATTTCAAATACTTTGAAGTCGATCTTCAGGAACCTTTTGTCTTGGCCTTTTCTGTATTTTAGTCGGTATAAACAATCTCAAAATTGCATCCATTCAAAATCCCAAACTGGTAATTGAGAAAATGGCTTAAAATTCCATTTTTGGAATTTGCTATTTATATGCTAAGTTTGAACTATAATGTGGAATCAAAATTCTTTGAACAATGTTCCCAACATTGTATATCTCGTGATAATTACATTCTTGATTCTCTTATTGTTTGTTCCCTTGCTCATTCTTTTATATTTCTTCCCCTGACTCTCTTTACTTGGCTCACTTTTTTATTATAAAGATTTAAGATTTTGACTATTTTTTTCTTCAACATATATTTCATTGTTTAAAGGAAAATTTTCATTGCCCAACTAGTCTATTTTTTTCAGTAAACTAAACATTGCTACAAAGCTGATATTTTTGAGAAGCATAGAGCCTGGACTGTGATTGTACAGAACACCATGGTAGGAACAGTACTCAGAACAAAATATTCAAGACATTGTGACAGAACAAAAGAAGACACCAAAGAAAGAATATAATGTTTTTCTGCCTCTAGGAAAGGAAAATTTGGTGTTCCTACTGACAGTACCGATTTTTCATTGAGATGCATTATTCACTATTTTTTAAAACAAATTCTACATGCTAATGAATGTCAGGTAGTGTAAACCACAGAGGCTATATCATGAACAGTTTTAATCAGCCATAGAAACCAAATACTGTAAAAACACCCCAGATTTGTACAGAAAGTGTCAGGAAGATGAATACCTGTTTGCTTTACTAGATATCAAAATATGAGTAATACCTAGATGCAAATTTAAGGCAAAAAAATGACAATACGTATGTACACCTATTAAGAACTAGTTGAAAAGGGTGCTACTTACTAAGCTACAAGTAATATATTAAAATGACGAGATAATGCACTGTTTTTGTAATTTTCCCTGAAAAAAGAACTAATGCTGTCATTTCAGTACCAATAAGTTTAAATGTTAAGTGGTAATGTTTAAGTTATTTGTGTAAGAAAGGAGCCACTGTGACATGTTTTATGGGCTGAGTTTAAAAGAGGAGCAAAAGAACATAGGGTCAGCTCCAAATGTGTTAAACCCCATCTAATTCATGCCCATGCTTAGTGCTATGCATGGCACAAACTGGTCCCCCATTATTGTGTGTTAAATTAATAACTGATGCTTCAAAAATAGTGTTTAAAATGTATAGCTTATCACTTATCATTGGATAAGATTTGGATAAAGATTCAATATTTATCTGATCCCACCTTTTTCCAAGTTTTCCATTAATCTCTTTTACATGTATTATTTCGTTTGCTTCTTACAACAATCTGAGTGTGCATTGGGAGGAGGAAACAGTTATAGTTCACTCCAAAGTGATTTCATGGCACTAAGATTCAAATCAAAAAGTTGTCAAAAACATATTACAAAAGTAATACTTGTTATTGCATCAGAAACTGTTGCCTCATCTAGCAAGAAGCAATAGATCCTGACTAGAGAGATGCTGTGCCATTAGAAGGGTACCATTGACGTACATGTTATGGCTGCTGCCAGGGCCCTTTGGACTCCTTGTTCCCACAGACCAGCAGGTAAGAAGAGGAGTTGCCATACCAGCATGCAAAATTGATGCTGATCCCTAGGAAGAGGTAGGGTTGCTCTTACACAGTGGCGTCAGGGAAGCATATGTATAGAACCCAGGTGATCCACTGGGCACCTCTTGCTGCTCCCTTGGTCCATCGTAACTGTGAATAAACATGTGCAGCAACCCTAATCTAAGAAGTGTGTGATTGTCAAGAGTTTAACGCCCTTTGAAATGAAGGTTTGGGTCATATCACCATGTAAGCACCATTACCTGCCAATGTGAGAGCCAATGACAAATGAGGGGGGATTTGAAACAAATAGTGGAAGAAGGAGAGATAAGAAACAATGGCAACCCCCAAATGAGCTACAGCAACTGGGACTATATAGGTCATCCTACACCCTCTGCCTTGCCTATTTGCAATTTCTCTTAGAAAGAGAGGCCCATGGGATCGATAGAGGAGTGTGTCTTATATCAGAATAGGGGAGGTGGATGCTGTGGCCATGAGGCTGTACCTCTCAGGTCTCGGACCATGAGGAGCAGAATTCTCTGAGACCCCCAGTTGCTGTGATCGGACATTGTTGCCACATGTTAATTAGTGGATGCCACATTTCCCATAGACTGCTCTCACCAATGAGTGAGTGTGGCAGGGATTTAAAGGCAGGCCAGGTCCTGGGAGAATCATGTCCCTTCTGACAGCAATTTTGTCTTTCCAATGGTCTTGCTGAAGTTTCCTCTGAACTTCAGTGAATCCTGCTTCCTTCCTTTCCTTTCTCCTTCACTCAGGGTCAGATTAAATTGTGATCTGATGGCTCCCCTCCCCTAGCTTGGGTCTCCCAATTTTGTCTCATAGCTTGCTTCAAGAAGGACCCTGACACAGATGCTTACTAGGTGAAACCTGCCTACTTTTTCACTGGGTAGCTTTTTACTTGTGTTGCATAATGAGCTGACAGCACAACAATCTTACCTTACAAGGCTCACAAGCCTCATATCTGTCAGGAGTTAATCACATTTTCAGGCCTGGGGAAGAGACCTTTCCAGTTTTTGCTGTTCCTGCAGATAACTATCGTAAGACTTTGCTCATTTCCTTTGTTCATTTCAATGTGATGTTGGGAGGAAGAAGTAGGTAACAGCATTTGGTGGGGAAAAAAGAGATACAAGTTGAAAATCCCTTACCTGAAATGCTTGGAACGAGAATTGTTTTGGAATTCCAGTTTTTTTGATTTTGGAATATTTGCAGATATGTAATAAAATAACTTGGGGACAGGACCCAAATCTAAATCCAAAACTTGTTTACATTTCATATACATCTAGCCTAAAGGTAATTTTATGTAATATTTTAAGTAATTTTGTGCCTGAAATAAAATTCATGTTAAGTGCTTATGTGAGCAATTTTCCACTTCTGGCATCATGTGGGCACTCAAAAACTTTTGGATTTTGGACCATTTTGGATTTTCACATTAGGGACGCTCAACCTGTACTGACATGTTGAAATCGAACACCCCCCCTTGAAATCTTTAACAGTAGTTCTAGTAATAAGCTAAACATTGCTCAGTTTTAGTTGTCTCCCTTCCTGCCTTCCCATAGACATGTTAATACATACTTCTCTTTTTTTATATTAACTAATATATTTGTCTATTAATCTCAGCATTATTCCTCCCGCAATTTGGAGTCTGCTCCTTCTTTCAAATGCTTCCACTATGTGGAAACACAAGTACTTCTTTCAAATGTTTGTGTTTACTACTTATGTCAATTTCAATGTATGTGTCCCTCCAAAATTTATAGGTTGAACTTAAACCCCATTGCCATAGAAGTAAAGGGTAGGGCCTTCAAGAAGTGATCAAATCATGAGGGAAGAACCCTCATGTATGGGATTACTGCCCTTATGAAAGGGCTGGAGGGAAATAGCAAAGCCCCTTTTCTCTTCTACCTTCTGCTATGTAAAGACACAGCTTTCCTCCCCTCTAGAGGACTCAGCAACAAAAGGCCATCTTGGAAGCAGAGAGACCAGACACTCCATAGACACCGAACCTGCTGGTGCCTCAATCTTGGACTTCTCAGTGTCCAGAATTGCAAAAGTAAGTTTCTATTATTTATGAATTACTCCGTCTCAGGTATTGTGTTATAGTACAAATGGACTAAGACAACCAGTCATTCATTTAACCACGTGGACTGAAAATCAACTCAATTCCAGGCAAAGAATTGGCATGATGATATGAATATAACATGAATTTATCCCCTGGAAAAATTCATGTTATAATCACTTCCAAGTGTATTAAAAATTGTATTAAATCCAAAAGATATTAGAGCTTTTTAATAGCTAGAAGATACTTAAGGGGAATAGATTTGCTCATTCTTAGACACAATTCTTATTCTGCCCTTTATTGTTCACGTTGTGAGTTATACAGGTCCTTCTCTATTTGGACAAGGACTTATAACCAAATAAAAGTGTAGAAAGCTAAAAATTGTGTATATTATGAATAAAAAGTGAAGAAAATTTTTGTCACTGCTACAGAGAGGTTGCTATAGTAAGCATATTTACCCAATCATAACTTTTTTTTTTGTAATCATGGAAAACTGCTTATTGTGAGCACTTATTACCCAATTGAAATGATTTCTTTTAAGGATAGAGTGTGATTGAGTCTTTTCCAACTGGAAGCTTATTATGAAGCATGATTGCATGTCTTAATGCATTATATACAATCAGAAAATATATGTTAATTAAGTAAATTCTGTGCAAGTATGTTTATGAAATGCTGGGTTTAAAAGACCTTGCATTCAAAATTGACAAAGACATACTCGCAGGGCCAAGGTCTAAGAAAGTCTAAAGCCAAAAAAACCCAAAAAAGTAATGACAGTAATGAGTATTTCTGTGGACTGTGGACTACTCTTGCCTTTGCCTTTATTGGCTTTAAACCCAGACTTCATGTTGGAATCTGAGTTTCGCATTAATCTTATGATAACTTCTTTTGCCTACTAATTACTTGGTATCTGAATTCAGTCTGTTTTTCAATTTTATTTTTTTGAGACAAGGTCTCTGTTACCCAGGCTGGAGTGTAGAGGCGCAATCGTGGCTCACTGTAGGTTTAACCTTCTGGGCTCCAGTGATCCTCCTGCCTCAATCTCCTGAGTAGCTGGGACTACCAGCACATGCCACCATGCCCAGCTATTTATTTATATCTTTTGTAGAGATAGAGTCTTGCTATGTTGTCCAGGCTGGTCTTAATCACCTGGGCTCAAGTGATCCTCTGGTCTTGGCCTCCCAAAGTGCTGGGATTACAGGCATGAGCCACCATGCCTGCCCAGTATATTATATTTTATTACGCTACATTTTATTATAACTCCCCTGAGCTCCCAACCTTAATAGGGCCGGGGCTTTTTTCCTTACAAAATTTAAGCATAACAAAGTTTGAATGTAAATTTCTACCAATAAGATACTAAAATTAATATTTACTACACTGGATTTGCCACACACTTGTCTCTCTGTCCATCCAACAATTCACCTTATCTTTGGATTCATTTCAAAGTTATTTACAGATGTAACATCTCAGCATGCATATCATTAACTAAAGTTTAATATTTCTTTATTGCCCTAATTTCTTCTTTTGAGGTAAAATTTACATACAAGGAAATACTCAGATCATAAGTGTTCCATTTCAGGAAAATTTTGACAAATACTTGACCTGCATAACACAAATTCCAACTAGGAAATACTTCTTTCTTCATTAAACATTTAGTAGCTAACAGCTTGTAACTTACAGACACATTGACATGTGACTGCGTTTAGCTAGGGCAAGAAAAACCTTATCAGAAAAGAAACTTGGGCCAGGCGTGGTGGCTCAGGTCTGTAATCCCAGCACTTTGGGAGGCCGAGGTGGGTAAATCACCTAAGGTCGGGAGTTCAAGACCAGCCTGTCCCACATGGTGAAACCCTGTCTCTACTAAAAATACAAAAATTAGCCAGGCATGGTGGTGCATGCCTGTAGGCCCAGCTACCGGGGAGGCTGAGGCAGGAGAATCACTTGAACCTGGGAAGCAGAGATTTCAGTTAGCCTAGATCATGCCATTGCACTCCAGCCTGGGGCACAGAGCCAGACTCCATCTCAAAAAAAAAAAAAAAAAAAAAAGAAACTTGGTTTATAATCAAAATCACCTAATGACATCTTGATGGCTAGGATTAACTATATGTTACTATTTATATTACTATGTACTTTGCCCTTCAACGTGGCAGTCAACTAGTCAACTCCCCTTATCCCAGACTTATCCCTCTTATCCCAGACTATGTGATCAACATTGGCAGAAGCAATCTCATCTTTAATTCCTAACACTTAAAAGGATAGAAACGAATATTTTACCCTTTAATGAATAAACAAAAATTGCATATAGATCTATACAAGATATATGCCCCCAAACGAAAATGTATACAAGCATACTTTGCCTTCCAGATAGATTTAGTTCCTAAAATCAGATCGCAAGAGTTTGGGCCACTATACATATTTCAGAGATTTTAAAGTCTATATGCTCCTTAATTCCAGAATACATATTCTGCCATCCAAATACTTAATTCTTTTTTTTTTTTTTTTTGCCTATTTTGACCTCAAATATAGAACAGAAAATCAAAGACCCATCCAGGGAAGGGTATCTGCATGGTATTAGCTTACAGTGGCTTGCCAGACTAACAACTACATGTAAGAGAATCTGACATGAGTAAATGATCCTATCTTTTCCCATTGAAGGACATCAAGGCTGTTACAGAATAAAAATGCAATTCCAAATTTCTGTGGACTGTGGTTTATTTGACAGAAAAGGATAAAATGATGATAAAAAGAACCGAATCTTGATATGTCTAGGAGTTCCCATGAAAGCTATTCCTTCATCCCAGAAAACGCTTTTCTTGGCACATTCTTAGCAGAAGTATCACTGGGAGTAACATTCCCTGGCAGTCACTTATGGACCTTATTGATTGTTGAGGTCATGTGCACTAACATAATTATTTCATATTTATAGAACCACTTATGTCACAATAACTCAGGTCCTGGATGTGCTCTGTATCTTTGCTACGTTACATCCTCACTCTTGCTCTGGTTTGCACCTGCATCATAGTGCTGTGTCATGTTCCCGGATGACCCATCCACACCTAACTTCTGTCCTGGCAGTAAACTTCTCTCAGCCTCCAAATATTCAGAAACATAAAATAAGATCATGTCAAGAAAAGGAAATAATGGTGAAGGCAGATCTGGGCACTATAAAAGTAAAGATAAAAAACAACCAGGGCCAGGTGCCGTGGCTCACACCTATAATCCCAGCACTTTGGGAGGCCAAGGCAGGTGGATCACCTATGGTCAGGAGTTTGAGACCAGCCTGACCAACATGGTGAAACCCCGTCTCTACTGAAAATACAAAAATTAGCCAGGCATGGTGGCACGCACCTGTAGTCCCAGCTACTTAGGAGGCTGAGACTGGAGAATTGCTTGAACCTGGGAGGCGGAGGTTGCAGTGAGCTGAGATCATGTCACTGCACTCCAGCCTGGGTGACAGAGTGAGACTCCGTTTCAAAAAAAAAAAAAAAAAAAAAAAAAAGAGGCAAAGCAGATTGTCAAAAGTCTAAGTTAACCAAGTCTAACTTAGACCAAGTTAACAAAGCTAGTAAGTCTGGGAGTCTGAGTTACTCAGCAGGCCTAAGGGAACGGACTCCCACAAGGCCTTTTTGGAGCCTGATTTTGATGTCCTGGATTCTGTTTTGGTGCTTATAGTTATCTGTTATTGGTCTTTACTTCCACCTGCTGCGACATCTGCCACTTACACGATCACTAATCTATCATTTACCTTCCTGGACCACTGGCCACCTGCAGATTCTTACTGCCAAGAGTAGCAAGTCCTATTTTACTGATTGACTTCATACATCCTGGTAGTCCAGACCACCTTTTTACAATGCCTCCTTAGTTTTGGTATTTTAATAGTCATCAGCTGTGATGGTTAGTTTTAAGTGTCAATTTGACTGGGTAAGAGATACCAAGATAGCTGGTAAAGCATTATTTCTGGGTATGTCTCTGAGAGTGTTTCTGAAAGAGATTGGTATTTGAATCAGTGGACTGTGTAAGAAAGATCTGCCCAAACCTTATGTTGGTGGGCACCATCTAATCCAATGACTGCCTGGATACAACAAAAAGGCAGAGGAAAGGTGAATTTGCTCTCTCTTCCTGAGTTGGAGTTCCTATCTTCCCCTATACTTGAACATTAGAACTCTCGGTTCTTCAGCCTTTGAACTCCAGGACTTGCACCAATGGTCCCTCAAGTTCCTGGGCCTTCAGCTTCAGATTGAGAGTTATACCATCACCTTCCCTGTTTCTCAGGCCTTCACACTTGGACTGGATTACAGCCATTAAGATAGTTAAGATGTGCTTAAATGGAGCCAATATTGGAGGAAGAGGATGTACTCAAATAAATATGATTGGATTTCACACCAGTGAAGTAAGAGGTGCACTTAAAATTAACCAGTGGATTTTTCCAAGCACAGACAACAGAGGAAAGCCCAAGAAGGAGTATTACACAGGTAGAGGAATTCACAACAAGCTCTTTCCCACACGTATTTACCCTTCTCATTCAATATTGTGATGTATCCAGCAAAAAGATTACATGTGGGAAAATTAAATTATATGGAGTAGTGGTATGTTTCTCCAAAATATGTACTAATTTTTAATTTAGCTTTTAATTATATTTTTAGCTTTATGAAAATTTTTAAAAAGTCAGAAAACAGAACAATAGCATATGCATCATAATTTATAGAGCTCATTTAATATACTTTCATTTTATTACACTTTAAAGTTACAAACACTCTCTCTTCAGAATGTTAGGCTGTGTAATACAGGAAAGGGAGATGGTGGAGACCAGAAAAAATGTTTTGACCTAGGGTAAAGGGGTGTGGATGTGTGTGTGGTGTGCACACACATGCCATTATTTCATTGTATTAAAGAGTGTGATTAATTTAGAATTAAAATTTTGCTCTGGGAAAGTCATTTCAGGTTGACTTGTTTAGAGGAGTTGATTTTTCAGTATTGAGGAGTCGATGTTTGTCCTCAGTATCATATGAGTGAATTTAAAATGAGTCTTCTTACCTTCCTACATAAAGAAAATAAGTTGACTTATCTGAATTTACGGCTTCTCCTAACTGCATTTTTTTTCTAAAAATGAGGTTTTCTTATCTTCCAGAGTTTTTTTGATGTGGATTTTCAGGATTACTTGTACATTTGCTGACATTTTATGTTCAATAAACAACCAATTTAGGTACATCCTTATTGTTGAAACAAAAGATAGCCTCCACATTTGGGTAACATCCTTTCCGCGTGCCCAAACAAAAGTCTCTAAACACTGTTTATTCTGGCAATGCAAACCTTTCCATTTGTCTTCTTTTGTTTTGTTTCTGATTATGCTTAATATAAACCTCCTATGACCTGCCTAAAGCCCTCTGGGGCTCAATACTGTTGACAGTAATTTTTCTTATTATTAATTTTGCTTTTGACATTGGTTAAGTTGCCCCTATCTATTCTGAGCTTCAAGATTATTTCAAACTTTTCATCTGTCTGTCACTTCCCTCTCACTCTTTGCGTAGGCATTCATAAAAATAAAAATATCTCTTGCTACACCTTTTACTCTTTCTCTGGGTCTTACTCAGAAAAGAGGAGTTGCCTCTAATCTCTCCCCCCTTTTTTGTTGGAGTATGAAGCATTTAAATGTTCCTTGTAACTCACCTGTTTCTAATTTGTCTAAAATATTTACCCTCAATTCAACTTAAACTTCACTTATTTTTTAGCAGGTATTGAGGAAGGTCTGTTTGTTTTCATTGATTTCTCTCTTTATAATTACCCAGTTTCAGGTAGTATTCTTTATAGCAGTGTGAGAACAGACTAATAAAAAGTGTTTTTATTTTTTCTGGCGCTAACACGTATGTGATTTGCAAATAGTATTGAGAATCTTCACCCAAATAGGTATGACACTTATTAATTACATCATATTTCCAGTCACTTAAAGAGGGCTAGGTAAGGCAGGGAAAGTGGAGGAGGAAATGAAGCAAAGAAGTTAAATAAGTAGTGTGAGGAGTGGGCTAAGAGACACAGAGAAATTAAAGAGAGAGGAGGAAAGTGTTCCTCAAAGTGATGAAATTACCTAGGGATGCTTGTTACATATGAAGATTCCTGTATGTTGCTAACCAACTGGATCAGAGATTCTGCAGGGGGAAGGGGCAAGTTGGTGCTGGGCACCTCGAATCATTTTTGAGATAATCCTATGCCTCCTGAAGTTTGAGAACAACAACACTGGCCAACAAAAGAATTAACAAGTCTCACTGGAAGTTATCATTCCTTCTCTTTAAACACTTATAGCTTTCAGTTTATACCACTAGGAAACAGTGAACATGGGAAAGGTTTATGAAAGGTGGTTTGCAGTAAAGCATAAATGCTTTGTGTGTAGGTGTGTAGGGGCAGGTGAATGAGTATGCTTGTGGTTGTGCATAGTTCCATATTCTGTAGTATTTCCCATATGTGTAAGATTACAGAATTACCTGGCTTACTTCTTCAAGATTTTCATTTTCAAGTCCCTCAATGGGCTTAAAATGAAGATTTTGATTCAGTAGGTCTGGAGTGGGATTCAGGAATGTGTATGTGTTTGCGTGTGTGTGTGTGTGTGTGTGTGTGTGTTTCCCTACATGTTCCGTAGGTGATTACTATTGTTAAATAAAATTTCTGGGGGATCATTGTTTTGAACCAAGGTTCAGCACTAGCCCTAATAGACCAGAACAAACCCATGCTAAGTGCCACATAATCAAACTGAGCTTCGAAATGGACCAGTTTTCCAAGAAACAGGAAATTGACAGCAGACAGTCAGAAGGGGCCTAGTTTTCCTGAGCCAGCATAAGAAAGTCCCCTCTGTTTTACCCTAAAAGGAAAGTAACTTTGAAACAACCAGTCCTCTTGGTGTTTCCTGTTTCTGCTTTCTTCAGCTATTTTCTGCCTATAAAGCCCATCACCTCCACTCGACTTATCAGATCATCCATTTTCCTTTATAGAATGGGATGTTGCTTTATTCTAGAATCACCAGTATAAGCTGATTAGAACTTTACATTAACTTTGTTGTAATTTTGTCTTTTCACACTGTAGGAAAAATATAGAAGACACTGATCTTGCATGATTTTAGAGAAACTAGGATAATCCTTCCATCAAAAAGCCTGTTTTATTTACAGAAATTATTTTATAAAGGGTCATTTATTCAAAAGTTAGATATAAAGTATAAGTAGCTGATATCAGATTATTTTATGAATGATTTAGTTTAAAGCAAACTAAAATGGCAGAGTACCAACATATAAATAATGCAAAGACATGTTTTACTCTCTTTAGACTTTTGCTATGGCTAAATGCAGCTGAAGTAGCCAGAGTGCTGTTCTGGATGAAGAACTGATTGTGGGCTTTGTATAGTTCGATGGAAAATGTGGACCAGCCAACTTCACTTTCAGGAGGCTGAGCCTGTAATAAGTAGAAAAGTTGACAACCTCCCACTTCTTCAGCTTGAAGATCTAAGGTAGTTCCCTCCCTGGACATCCAACATTCTGCCAAGCTCTCCTCTGCTTCTCTCCCAGCCCCTTAACGTCTTCTAAGAAGGCATCCCTAGGCAGGGGTTTCACTTTCTTAGAGAGTGGTTTCAATTTTTTATCCTGGGGATGAATGCAACTCCTAATAGCTAGTGTTCCAGGTATGAGGAAAGAGAAAGAACCTTGCTTGGCTTACCAGTTATGCTGTGAGTAATGCAGTTCATTAACTGCCCTAATGATTGTGTTTGGAAGCCAGTTATCTTCCATTTGTACACTTACATCTATGAACATCTTTGGAACTGTTCTTAGTCTGAATCTTTCCAGTAGTTTCCTCATGTGCATATTTTAAGCTTATGGGGTTCTCTATTCACGTCAAACCAATGCCATCTATTTTCTACCTTCTAAGAGTTTCTCCCAAATTCCTTGGATGCTGGATCACATACTTAACTGCATTCTGTAATTTTAAAGAATTTGGAGGAGAGAAAGGGCAGATAAAATAAGACCAAAATTGATCAAACATTGTATTAGTAAGAAAAAGGGGGGAACTCTTCTCATTAACTTAAGATGAAGTGGAATCTGTTGAAAGGATAGTAGCAAGCTCTGAGAATTTCTCTAAATCTTGCAGAACCAGCTTTAGAAATCTCCAATGCACCTATGTTCTGGAATCAAGAGTCTGAGAAAATGAAAATCTGATACTTTGAGCTTTGATAATGGCAGGGAGGCAGCCAGACATTTTCAAACTCTTAGTCTATGAGTCACCTTCTAGCTTCACCTGCCCCTCTGCCAACATGGCCCCACTTTCCAGTGATGTACTCATTACCACCTTTAAAAACCCTTGCATATTTAACCTTGCATAGTGTCAACTTGCCAATCTTCAACAGTGAATCACTCTACCTTCTGTTTTGCAGGTTGTATTCCCAGGTTGCTGGACTTTGCTGGATAAACTCTCAAAATTATGCTGACTGAAAATTCATGCTAACATAATTCTGAGTCATAAATTTGTCCATGGTTTTTCCTTGACCTTCCTTTCTTTTTTCTCTTTATTCTTTGTTCCAGATGAGCTGTTGCATAAATGAAGGAGCAGGAAACGTGGAATCAGAAAACCTGATCTTAACTCTTGATTCTGTTTCTTGTAGTTGAAGAAGGGCTTTTCATTTCACTCTGCCCTATTTTTGTCTGTGACATAGGGATAATACTTAAATTAAAGGATGCTTGTGACAATTAAGAGAGGAATATAAAATAAGCTTTGGTCTACATTATGCTCACATATGGTAGCTATGTTATATTCTAAGTGTGAAGCAATCCAAAATCTTTATTCAAAATATTTCCTTGCTGATTTTTTTTCTTCTAAGGAAGTTCATTTCCAAATTTCCTCTCTTTCTGAACATACAATTTGAAATTTCCACTGACACTTCAAACTAAAATGTGTATAACAAGCTGCCTCATTTTCTACCAAAACTTCTCTGACTTAGGGCAATTCTGGTTAATTAAGAGAGATCCTTCAGTATTATATGGCATTGTTCGTTTCATCCCCATCACACATGTAACATCACATTTTAAAACATCTTTCTCTCTAACACATTTTGACCAAGGGCATAATGTTCTGTTCTGCCAGTTTGGTGCTGCTAATGAGAAGCTAGAAAAACATTGTTTCATATACTAATTCACCACCTCAAATATGATAGAATCCCTGGGATAAGAAGAAAAATCTAAGCAATCCAGCTACCTAATCACTTTATTTCCTTTTAATTCCAGTAAATGCCACAATCCAATTTACAAGCCTATTAAATATTGCATTTGCCTAACAAAAATTATTTCCATCTGAAAGCAGATCATATATAATTTTCTTTGGATTTTCCTCATATAGTTAATAGACTACCCCTCTCATATTGGTTCATTTTAATAACTGTATCTCAAGTTATGGGGTCATTATCATTGAGGGTCTCTCTGCTGCCTGGTCCTGTTATCAGTGTGCATTTGCAGAAGACCCTCTCCAGCCCCTTGGTAACCTTGCTTCTGGGTGCAAAATTATATTGTCTGATCCTTTCTTCCTGAAACCCTCTCATTAAAATCAGAAAGAATGCTGTTTATAAACCAACTACAGAAGCAGGATTTGCTTTTTCTGTGTTCACAATTGAGAGGTAAAAATTCTGCTGCAATGTAATGTTTAGACTTCTCTCTTGTGAGAGTGCAGATGGAAGATACAGCTGCTTTTCTCCAAATCAATTTCCTCCCATTGGTCTTCTGTTATCCTTTTTTTCCTGGAGAAATTTCTTGTTTTCTAAGAGTGTACTTTCCCACACAATCTGAATTATTTTTATACAGTCAATTCTTGAGGTTTAATTTGACTCTTCGATGATATCCTAACTTGTCTTAATTTCACCTGAAATTAGTAAGTAACTGTATTATTCAACTTTAAACAGAGAGTCTGAGATTTTCTGGGTATATGTTGGTCATTTGGTAGTAATAAGAATGTGGAATATAATTAGTAATTTATAAAAATAATAGATCTATTTGTCAGAGATTCAGATCTATAAATTTTAAATAAAGGATGCAAATATCTAGTGGCTCTTAATGGGTTAGAAAGACTGTTTTGAGCCAGGCACAATAGTACACTCCTGTAGTCTACTTGGGAGGTTGAGGTAGGAGGATCCCTTAAGGCCAGGAATTCGAGGCTGTAATGTGCCATGATCATGCCTGTGAATAGCCACTGCACTCCACCCTGGGCAGCATGGGAAGACTTCACCTCTTTAAAAACAAGAAAACAAACAAAACAAAACTCCTTTAGATGTTAAGTAACTAAAAATATTTTTATAAGGCTGGGCACAGTGGCTCATGACTGTAATCCCAGCACTTTGGGAGGCCGAGGTGGGTGAATCACGAGAGTTCATGAGTTTGAGACCAGCCTGGGAAATACAGTGAAACCCCATTTCTCCCAAAAATAACAAAAAAAAATTAGCCAGGCATGGTGGTGCACACCTGTGATCCCAGTTACTCAGGAGGCTGAGGTGGGAGTATTGCTTCAATCCAAATCATGCCACTGCATTCCAGCCGGGGCAACAATGAGACTCTGTCTCAAATAAAATGAAAAAAAAAAATTCTATGAAAGAGGATTGACACAATTTTGTCTTTGCATAGGGTTTACTTCAGAAGAATGGCCCAGTAATATAGTCACTGGTTATGTGTCCGTGTATGCTGTAAGTTGAAGTGGAATTTTATAATTTGAATATACATACCTGTATCTGTGTGTGTGTGTGTACTGCCTCAACAGTTTGACAATTTCAAGAGAAAGATACATACACACATGCGACACACACACACACACACACACACACCATATATACATATATATATAATATATGGTGTGTGTGTATATATATCTATAGGCATAAAATAAAAATTTTTTTTAGTTCTACATATATATGTAAAACTATGTGTGTATATGTAAAACTATGTACATATATGCGCATATATGCACATATATGCGCATATATGTACATATATATATAAAACTAAAAAAAAATTTCATTTTATGCTTAGCTTTGCCTGGGTAGATACAGCAAACAGATATGGTTTTTATTGATAAAGAGACAATAAAATATTTTGGGAAAAATTTAATTACCATATAAACATTCCCTTTGTAATCTCTGAAAATAGATTTGACTTACAGGTATGTTTCAATGTGATGTTTCATGCCCCTGTCATAAGCCTTAGTCAAGAATAGGGGTAACTAGTAGGTCAGGGATACAGAAACGTTGGGATCCATCTGATTTGTGTTACAGTTTTTTGTATAATTTTTAAGAGAGTACATACTTTTAAAATTTATCTCCTTACAAGTGACACAAGATTCATTTTAAAAGTAATTATTAGGTTCTAAAATGATGTCTAAGAGTGGAAGAGCCAGTGGCCGGGTGCGGTGGCTCACGCCTGTAATCCTAGCACTTTGGGAGGCCGAGGCGGGTGGATCACGAGGTCAGGAGATCGAGACCATCCTGGCTATCATGGTGAAACCCCGTCTCTACTGAAAATACAAAAAATTAGCCGGGTGTGCTGGCGGGCGCCTGTAGTCCCAGCTACTCGGGAGGCTGAGGTAGGGGAATGGCGTGAACCCGGGAGGCGGATCGCGCCATTGCACTGCAGCCTGGGTGACAGAGCCGAGACTCCGTTTCAAAAAAAAAAAGGGTGGAAGAGCCAGTAAAGCCCAGAGGAGCCTGGCCAGCAATGATGTAATAGTTCTAACCTTGAGAGGTGGCCATTCCCAGGCTCCTGGTACCTGGCTATGAGTAAGTCAAGCTACAAATAGCTATTGTTTTCAGGTGTTGGGGATACAGGACTAAAGCAGACTGGCCCTCTTTCCAAGCAGCTTGACTAGTTGAAGGGGACAGAAGGTGAACCTGAAAATAAATAAGATGATTTCAGGTACAGAGAAGTATTATGAAGAAGATAAAAATAGTAGGGAAAGACACTTTGGGTAGGATGGTTAGAAAAATCCTCTCTGACAAGGTGCCTTTCAACAAAGATCTAAATAATGAGACACGGGCAGTTGCATGACAAGTCTGGGAGAGACTGTTAGAAGTAAGAAGACCAGCAAGTGCAAAAGCCCTCACTCAGGAAACAGAATTTCACAGTTTAGATTTTTATTCTGTAACTGGCAGCCACTGGAGCTTTTACAAGGGTGATTAGGTGATCTAATGTACACTTGAGACAGATCATTCAGGCTGCTGTGTGGCAATACACTCTGGGGTCAAGAATAGACAGGAAGAATAGCTCAGTGGAGCTACTGAAGTCCACAGGATTATACAAAAATAGGACCACAGATGCAATTAACAAAGACAATGAGAAGGTGCAAATTTGGAATATATTTGGAGGAAGAGCTGACAGAACATACTGATGGGTAGAAAATAGAGTGTACAAAAGAAGAATCACAACTAGTCGCCTCACTCCTTCCTCACCTTTTACCCCCAGAAATATTGTTTTGTTAAATATAGAGAGGCAGCTTTTCCCTCCCTTCTCCCCACTTTTCAATTGCTCTCAAACTAGTACCCATGGCCTTTTCTATTACTTTATTTCTGAACATCACAAAACTAAAAAACAAGCAAACAAATTATAATAATTTCCACATTACCATGGCAAAATAGTATTTGTGTTCATCAACATGTTTTCCCTTTGAAAGTCTATTTTGCTTCTCCTCTTCCCCAATGAATGAATAATGAAGCTTGAGGGCAGAGAGTTGCACACTTAGTATCCCCTCTCTACATCAATGTTTCTAATATCAAGAATGGAAACAGGATATTAGATTCCTTTTTCAAGTGAAAGCTAATTGTTGGCTTGAGGGTAAGAAATCTACAAGAGAAATAATAATAGCAATTATTTTTTGAGTACTTGCTTAGTGCCTGGCATTGTTCTTCATATGTTAACAAATTTAACCCAAAAATAATCTTACGTATTTTAGAGATGAGAAACTAAGTCACTGAGAAAATCGCCCAAGGTCACAGAGTTAATACATGGTATAGCTGGTTTCAGTTCCAGGAGGCTGACTTTAGAGGCTGAGCATTTTACCACTAGGAGTATCTGTATATTTCTTATCATCTTGGTGCAGTTTTAAAAATAGCAGAAGAATATCTATGTCTACCTTTCTAATTATGAAGAGAGAAGCAACATAGCCACTTAATCTCTGAGACAAGAGAAAAGAACACAAATGTTCATTGATGTCTGATGATGAATGATAGAGGTAACTACACATGCTGGTCTTTCTATTGTCTCTAAAAATGAATTTATTCTAATTCTCCAGCATAAAAATTCCTCAACAAATATTTTAAAAACAAAAATCTGAATTCTGGATGTAAGAGAAGGCAACACCTGGCGTAATTTTTATATATTATCCCTTTAAAATTTCACAAATCTCCTAATATAAGTATTAATATCCCAGTATTGTGAATGAGATTCAAAAAAAATAATGAGCTTGCCCACGATCACACAGACAATGAAATTTAGAGTTAAAATGATCACTTTTGTGTACATCTAAATCCCCATGCATTTTTCAAAACAATGTTCTGTCATTAGTGAATTTGAGTGGTCAACAGCACATTAGCCCAGTTTTGGAAACCATATTTAAGTGATACTATATTTAATTGAAGTAAAATAACACTTCAACTATGCTTCAAAGCCAATAGAATTTTGATGTAAACATAACTATGAGAATAGGATTATTCCTTTGTTTTGTATTTTCATTTATATTAGCTTTTGTGATAAGAAACTTCTAATGGTTCTTTTAAAACAAACCCATAGTAACATAAAATAAAATAAAAGTATGAAATTATTGTTCTGAAGAGGTAAAACCACAGAAACAATACATTCTACCTTTATTCAAGGTTTGTTACTCAAGAGTTCTAATTTCAAATTTTTTTCACCCACTGCGATGTGTATATTTCTTTCTGGATGACTGGTGTCTTTTTATGTTTCATCCCATCAGTTTGTTCTACAGAACTTCCTTAGGTGGATTTGTGTGTGTGTTTGTATATACGTGTGTGCTTGTGTGTTTTCATTGCAAAGATAGAAACCTTCAGGAATAATAAACTAATAAGCATAAGTTAATCCTACTGAAAATAGAATCTTCCAAGTTCTTAAACAAAATAACTTTAACCCAGAAGAGTGAGTGCTCTGTAGCTAAAAAGGTGGAACAATTGTTCAGTGGTGAAATGTGAGCTGAAATAGAACTAGACAGGAGTAAGTCTACATCAGACAGGAATCTTCAAGGTGTGCTGCTTACTTGGTTAGGCCATTTGGACCATTGGATTCTTAATTTCAATTGGCCAGTTGAATAAGTCTGTCTGATCCAGATGTCTACCTAAATCAGTAGTTTATGAAGATAGCAGAAATAGCAACTAGAAGGAATTAAAGTAACACTACAGGTTGAAAACCTATATATAGTTTCATTTTCTTTTTTTAACTTTTAAGTTCAGGGTTACAAGTGCAGGTTTGTTATATAGGTAAACTTGTGTTATGGGGGTTTGTTGTACAAATTATTTCATCATCCAGGTATTAAGTTTAGTATCCGTTAGTTGTTTTTCCTGATCCTCTCCCTCTTCCCACCCTTCACCCACTGAAAGGCCCCACTGTGAGTTATTTCCCTCTGAGTCCATGTGTTTTCATCATTTAGCTTCTACTTATAAGAGAACATGCAGTATTTGGTTTTCTGTTCCTGTATTGAAAAACTATTTATAGTTTTATATAATTTATCTAAAATGTATATAGTTTTATATAATTTATTTTAAATATTAATTCAATAGGTGACCCCTCTGTTCTAAGTTTAGAATACTCCTAGATTTTCCCAGTTTGGTCCTAATACACGAGAATTTAAACTTTCTCTTCCACCACCCTGATATCTGCCCAATAATTCCTAGAGCATCTGTAAGCATCCTGGGATATGATAGGAATATGACTTCTGGAGGTAGCCCAGCAATTTGACTTGTTTGACCCAGAGAATCAATCAGGTAGTGATCTACTCACACCATAGCAGGGTGAAGTTTTGAGGCTCAGGTGTTGTGATGGTTCTACCCACGTGATGAGCAGTCTGGTCAGACCAGTTGTTCCCTTGCTTTGGGGTCTATGTTGGTTATTTGGGTGCATTCCCAGCCACTTGAATATTGACTCATCACAGAGTTCTTCTAAGCTATGAGATCTGGCACTCTTTGGGCCACAGACTGAATTTTGGATGACTGTCAGAGATGGGGCCAAAGTCTCACAATACTCCAATTTTTTTTTCCTATTGTCTTTACCTGAATATCTTTTGGATTCACACTCACTTCTCTTCCTAGTCTTCTCACAATGCACTGTTCTAGTTTTCTCTGCAAAAACGGATTGTCAATGCATCCTTAGAGAGCTATCTTAAATCATATCATTCCCTCCTATTCTACTCCAACCCCCTAGCCCTGAACCAGCCTCTTCAAGAGCCATTTTTATATCTTGGAGAAGAAAGGGAAAAACCTCCATCAGGCTTTCTGCTTTATATACATGCACTACCAGTTTTAGTAGTTTTATTCTTAACTTCTACTTTACCATCAGAAGGAGGCAGTAAAACATGGGCAAAATTTTTCTAAAGTTTTTTTTTTTTTACAAATGTATGGAAGTAGAACTGATGTACAGGAAACTTAACATATTTAAGGTATATAATTTCATGAGTTTTGACATACATATGCACCTATGAATTCATTACTACAATCAATAAGGGAATATTTTGGCTAAACCCCCACCTGCAATTTTTCTCTACAACAACTATACTTCTGTCACTATAGATAGTTTACATTTTCTAGAGGCTTATGTAAATGTTATCATGCAGTGTGTACTGCTTTTTATCTGGTTACTTTAACTTAACATAATAATTTTGGGATTCATCCACATTGTTACATCTATGAACAGTTATTTCTTTTAGTTTTTAAGCAGTAGTGCATTGAATCAATATATTACAATTTGTTTATCCATATACCTATTGATGGACATTTGAAACACTTCCAGTTTTGGACTATTTCAAATAAAACCACAATGGTCATGGTTATACAAGTCTTTGTATGGAGAATTATTTATATAGGTTTTTTTTTTTAACTTTTTAAGAAACTGAAAAACTGTTTTGCAAAGTGCCTAGGCCACTTTACATTCTGCCCAACAATACGTGAGAGTTCCCGTTTCTTCATATTTTTGCCAGCACTTGGTATGGTCAGTTCTTTTGCCATTGTAATAGTCATGTAATGATATTTTATTGTAGTTTTAATTTGAATTTCTGTGATGACTAATAGTTTTGAAGATGTTTTTATGTGCTTATTGTACATCTTCTGTTGTAAATTCTGTGCTTAGTTTTTTTTGACCATTATTTAGGTTTTTTTTTTGTCATATTATTGAGTTACAAGGGTTCTTTATTCTGCATTCAGGTACTTTGTGTGACATATGTATTATGAATATTTTCTTCCAGTGTGCATTATTTTCTTAATGGTGTCTTTTGAAGAGCAATAGTTTTAAATTTTGATAAAAATTCAATATATTATTATTTTATGGCTTATGCTTTTTTGTTGTTGTTCTAAAAAAATATGTTTTCTTCTAGAAATTTTTTTTCAACTTTAGGTATGATGTGAAGTTGGAGTGATGTTCTTTCTAAATTATACATAGACATATAGTTGATCCAGCACCATTTGTTGAAAAGATATTCCTTTTCCCCATTGAATCACCTGATATTTTGTCATAATATAATTGACCACAGATGTATGAATCTATTTCTGCACTCTATTCTGTTTCATTGCAATATAGCTACCTTTTCACCAGTAGAAAATTATCTTGATTACTCTAGTTTTATATTAAATACCGAATCCAAGACTAGCTAGTCCTTCTATTTCATTCTCCTTTGGACATATATTTTGCACTAGTTTTTTATGTGCCTTAGGTCTGCGTTCCATGTTTTCCTTGCTAGATGGTTGGTACTCCTTGCTAGATGGTGATATACTATAGAGTGGTCATTATTCATAATGGCAGAACTCAAACTATTTCAAACCATATATCGGAGGAGGTTTTTCTCTCTTCTAGTGTGATCTGCATTTGGGGAGTAAACAGTTTTTGTCTTCCTCGGGTACTCTTAAATTGAGCTTTTACAGTAAGAGGTCTTAATCATCCTTGTATTTTTAAAAACATACTTGAAGCTCTTCTGGTTAGGGGTGGTGAGTGTAATAGATAGAGAGGCTTGCTAAGCATTAGAACACCTGGAAAGCCAGATTGGGGTCTTTGCTATCAGAATTCTTAAGAGACTTTGGGAGAAAAAAATGGGCAAAAATGTACAACTAGAGTTGATTTGGAAGCCAAGATCAGAAGCTAAATGTGCCGTCCCAGAAGATGGAAGCAGGATAAGAGAGTCTGAGAACCTAGAAGCAAGATGATCAAGGAGCTGCTGAGGCTGTCTGACTTTGTATTATTTGCTATCGCATCTTCTTTACTGACTTGTAGAGGCAGGACTACCTACAGTAAGCACCAGAAGTGAATTTATCAAAAAGCCAATAACACTTAAGGGTCAGGACCCTCAACTGCATGGACACCTTTCAAAGCTCTAAAGTTGTATTTATTTTGTGTTCTTTTTCTTATAAGTAACCTCTTATAAATAGAGAGAGGATAAACACAGAACCATCCAAAGCAAATACCTGGAATGTTGATCATATAACTGCATTTTACTTGTTTATTTTAGGGTAGTTTATGGAAAGAACAATATATTTAAAGTAGCAAAATAGACAGTAGAGCTTATAATTATTGAGTGTTCAGCCCTGTGTCAGGTACTGCTGTAAACACATCACATACATTTACTGATTTGACCTTCGAACAACTCAGTGAGGTCCATTTGTTATAAGATTCATTTTAGAGATTAAAGAAACCTGCTCACAAGCAGACATTAAATAACTTCCTCAATTTGCATAAGTAGTAAAGAGTGAGGGATCTTGAGAGTGGTGGGGTCCAGATTTGAACTTAGATAGTCTCGTTCCAAAGCCTTGTGCTGCCATCAACCTTTCTATCCCTCTAGAATAAAAGGAAACGGGCCTCATGCTGAGTTTCTCTTTAGATTTACTGGTATCTCTTTTCGTTGACCAATATTTCAATAATTTCTTGATGGAAGTCTATGTATACAAAAATTTAATCAAACTTCAGAAATAAGGTTAATTTGTATACAGAAACAAGTCACATAAATTGGAAAGCTTTAAATCATTTTAACCTATAGATTTCAAGATGAATTTATGACTGTTTGTTATAACAGATACTTATAAGTATCCCAGACTTTGTGAAAGCCTCTACACTTCACAAATCTCACTCTTTCTTTCCTAATAGGTCATATAATCTTACAAGCATATAGGGTATTTACTTTTGGTCTATTTGACAATCAATATTGAAGTTTGAGAATGCAAAATTCCTTAGTGGATTTGAACTGGGCAAGGTGTTTTTATTATACCGCAGCCAGATACATTCTCATACTTTCTTTGCATCAATCTCAAGATGGAGAAATCTTAAAATTTTAATATTTTTACAATTTTAAATATTTTGTGCCAATTTTCTAAGCAAGCATATTTAGGACTATAGCTATTTCCCTTAATGGAACAAAAATGTTGAAGAAGTGCCGTGGACCTCACTGAAATTTATGAATACACAGAGATTCAAGAAGACCTCCTCAGTGGTAGTGCAGTATTTGAATTTTCTCTAAGCATGTCTATAACCATATATTTTTTGTATGTGGAATTGGCCTTGGTTCTTGAATTGAGAATGTAAATTAGCATTTGCTACTATACTCTCTAGGGTTTAGTTCTTTTTGGAAACTATACATCAACAAGAAAGAACGCGAAAATAACCATATCATTATCATTTCTCTTCAAAGTTTTAGATATTTTCAGAAGATCCACTTCTACTCTGAGTTTGAAGATAGTAGAGTGTTATATAGTAGTTAGGAGCATGCACTTTGCCACCTAACAAATTTGGGATGGAATCTGCTTTTACGCATTGTCTATATCTGATGGTGGTCAAATTACATAATTTGTTTTACTTGTTAATAAAACGATGATTAAAAACTATTAATAGGGCCAGATGTGGTGGCTCACACCTGTAATCTCAGCACTTTGGAAGGCCGAGGCAGGTGGATCACCTGAGATCAGAAGTTCAAGACCAGCCTGGCCAGCGAGGGTAAAACCCCTTCCCCACTAAAAATACAAAGATTGGCCAGGCATGGTGGCGGGTGCCTGTAATCTCAGCTACTCGGGAGGCTGAGAGAGGAGAATTGCTTGAACCCTGGAGGCAGAGGTGACAGTGAGCCAAGATTGCGCCACTGAACTCCAGCCTGGGCAACAGAGCGAGATTCCATCTCAAAAACAAAACAAAATCTATTAATAATAATAATAACAATGATGAAATTTACTTATCACTCACTTTATAATTTTTTTTCAATCTAACCACAGCATAGTTACCCACAAATCATTATCCTCACTTTGAAATAAGGAAATTAGGCTCAAAGAGGAAAATAAAAGAAAGAATGAAACTTGCCCAAATTGAGATACTGCGTGGAATAGAGTCAGGATTTGGACTGAGGCTGTCTTACTTTGTATCATTTGCTACAGCATCTTCTTCACTGACTAGTAGAAATAGTACTGTACATATAGTAAGCACCAGAAGTGAATTTACTAAAAAGCTAACAACACTTAAGCGTCAGGACCCTCAACTGCATGGACACCTTTCAAAGCTCTAAAATTGTGTTTGTATTTTTGTGTTTTTTTTTTCTTGCAAATAGCCCCACAAATCATGTGAATTTTAGGGCTCACTAAACCTGGGTCTGCCTCAGATAGGCCGTCAATAAATATCTCCTATTATTGTTAGCACCCATTTACTATTGCTAATTATAATATTTATAGAGTTTGTGCTGAGGTAGCAACTTCCCTGCCACACCATCTCTTCTCTGCTTTGTTAGCTCCATGTAACTTTTGTTGATTTTTTGTTGTTGTTTACCCAATCTTCTCAGTAAGGCTAGCCTAGTTATATGCTAACTTAAACAGAGATATGTATACAAAAGACTTCGTCAAGTATGAATTTTTATTACCACTATGATTAGGCACATACTTTTGAGAAGCGAGGAGACATTCTAGAAAGACAAGCTCTCCAGTTTCTGTTTCCATCTCACCTCTCACTCCCTCTACAGTTTACCATTTGTGATACTCAATAAAATACTAAGTGCTCTATAAATGTAGCATGACCTTGAAATCTATCTTAAGGCAATTATAAAAACATTAAAAATTATTAGCATTATGGCAATAATTATAGGAGAACTAATTACTAATGTACTCCTAGGCTAAATGTGTAACCTATATTATGCTATTAATAATTAGTAAACTTTCTGAGGTTGGAATTTGATCCCTAATTTACAGATAAGAAAAGAAAGTCTTGGAGAGATTAAATGACTTATCCAAGGTTACACAGTAGGTATGGGGCCAAATTTAAAACTCAGATCTGTGACTCCAAAGCCCCTTATTTAACATCCACACTTTCCAACCTTCTTCAGCATTTCTCAGACCACCACCATCTTGATTTAGCTACCTTAAGTATTGGTATAAATAGTAAATTGATTCAGGGGGAGAAAACCTCGAAAAACTAAACTCTTTATGTCTGAAGTGTTCAGAGAAATCATGGTGTTAATTGTATATTCTAAAATTATGCAAATGATCTTTTTAGTTGTGAATTAATCAGTGTTAATCACTTGAAAAATAGCTTTTAGGTTCTTTTTTTTTCTTAGAGATGTGTCAGGGTGGTTGAAATTCTCCTAGTAAGCTTCCTCTTTAAGAATTCAACTTTTTTTCCCCCTGGCAGATGAAGACTACTTGAGTTATTTTGGTGTTGAGCAACAGTCACAGTAGGTGATTAAATTAGAGGCAGGTGTAAAACCCTTAAGTTACCAGGGCTCTGCTCACTGAGGATTACAGATCAGCAGTAATCCTCATGTGACATATGAAAGCCTATCTTTACACATCTGACATGTGAAAGCCTATCTTTTGTGGAGGGAAAAGAGACACTAATGTGACTTGCTATTTAAAAAGAGACATCAATATCAATAAAGAAATAGAATGACTATCAGATGGGGAAGATATGGTTCACCTGCCTATTTGAATTCGGAAGCAACATATTCTCAGCTGTGGTTATCTCAAGTCTACCATCAAGAAAAATACAAGTAGAACAAATGAAGTTGCAATCCCCTTTTCTTATTAGCAAACAGTGAGCCTCATAACTCTACTTTCATTTTAAAAAGAACTTACTCTACTGATGTTAATCAAAATTTCTGAAGATCCTCTGATGATTAATGCTGATTCCAGTTTGTTATTGACCTTGATAATTTTGGAAAAACAACAGAAAATTATCATTGTAACATAAAGAAATGCTCTTTAATCAATTACAAAAGGGTAATTTTTCTCCTGAGTTTCTGGATATCTCTGTTATTATTTATGGTTAGAGATGTATTTCGAATCTATATTTTGCACCAAGAATATATATATATATATATAAATATATATATATATATAAAAATATATATTTCCTCCAAAATAGTATATCAAAGAACCTGAGAGATTTGAGTACTCCAAACTATTTTTTATCGTGAACATTTTAAAAATTTACTGACCTTGGGCATATGGTGGTTTTTGGTACATCTGTGATTTTTCCTCTCAACTTCCAAACACTGCACCAATGCTTTTCTTTTTGTAAAAGAAAAATACATTTATATATGTGTGTGTGTGTGTGTGTGTATTCTTAAGTGTAAATCTTTGTTTACTTTGAAGGTTCATACCTTCTATGGTTCTCAAGTTTACCTTTATTTGGTTTAAAGGCAGATTAAGTGTTAATCAGAAATGGTTTCAGTTTTTTTTTTTCCACTGAGTTTTCTAACTAGGGTATGACTCTTCCTGGAGCTGAGTGAATAGCACTGATGGACCTGCAAATTAAGTTTTATACCCAGAACCTTACAAACTTACAATATAATGGAATTCTCTTTTTCCAGACCGGTCAAAGACTGAAAGATTAATGGCTCTAGGAAGGACTGTGCAAATATGTTTGTTTTTCAGAATAAAATCCTACATAAATGTTTTAAATAATTTATTGGTATATTAATACTTCAGAATATCTTATATCTTGCAGACATGTGTGTCTGAAAAACCCAGTGCATTTAGGTCACAGATAAATACTTGATAAAATATAATTCACATTTATAAGGGAAAAACTAATAAAAAGACTAAAAACAAGTGGCAAAATGCACATTTTCAAGTACTCAAAATAATAGTTACAAATACTGTTTACAAAATCTTGAAATGTTGGCACTGTGTTTCATGGTAACCTTTAGAAAGGAGAATTATACCTTATTGAATATTTTGTCTTATCAAAATACATTGTAAAATAACATTTAATAACATCTGAGTGTGTCTCAATTTAAAACGATGTACACATTACAGAAATTACATATAAATGCCCAATAAATCTTTACTGTCTGAGGCTTGCTGACAAGAGGTTTAGTCAGTAACCTAAGAAATCAAACTTCATCATTTTTAGGGCACATAGAAGAACCATGCCAATGAGGACGGAGATGGGTTCTATATTTTCCCAAAGCTAGTTAGAATAATTTTTTTTTTTGGTAATTCTAAAGGTTTACTGATCATTTAACTTTGTTTCAGATGACTTAAAAAATTATCCTAAAACAAAGAGGAAGAACATGAACTGTTTAAAGTCTTACTTCACCTCTCATTTATTGTTGTCATTTCACTTTTATTATGTATAGATTTAATTCCTGTTTTGTTGACAGCTTATTATAAAAATAAGTGGATACAAGGAATCGAGAAGCTGGGACTGAGAAAATAAGATGGTTTATAACTGCTTTGAAATTACTTAAATATTTGGCAAGATAGAAACAAAAGGAACCCATGAATGGAATCCCTTTGCATGGAGGTATTTACTGAGATTTCCCTGGCCCTTAGCGAATGAGATTTATGTTTCACAAATGGCTCCATTATTAAACCCTCTGACTCCATTCCCATGCCTACACAGAACACCCAGCTAGATTCATTCTCCACCATCCAACAGGCAAAACTCTGCCATGTTTTTTGCTTCCACTAAGAATCTAGTCATACCAAGGAGGAAGAAGTAAACACTAGCCTAATTGTCTTGGAGTTGATTTGCCCAAAACTATCCCAGTTTTAAAATGGAAAATCCTAGGTCCTGAGGGCAAACCAGAATGGTTGGTGTTACTAGAATCTCTCATTGCCTGACCCTAATTTTGGGACAAGGGAAAGAGATTTTCTCAGAGAAGAGGCATATTTCAAGATAGATATTCAGTCACAAGTCAAAGTTCAGCATAGTGACGGAGACTGTAGGTTGAGCACCTGATCATTACCTGTTTTCCTGGGCGCACAGATAGTACATACTTTCCAACCTGTCTTGTGGTTAAATGTAGTCATGTGACCGAGTGCCAATAGAATGTGAATGAAAGTGATGTTACTTCCACAGCTGGATCATAATAACATTCATGTGCCATACTTCTTATTCCTTCCATTCTCTGGCTTGAAAATGAATACAGCCACCTTGATCTGAATGCTGAAGATTGCAGAACCACAGGATCAAAGGAGCATGAGAAGGAAAGCTGTCTTGAAACAAGAAAACTCATACTACATTTGATATGAGTGAGAAATAAATTTCTATTATTTCAAGCTAATAAACTTTTGCATTTTGTCTATATAGCACCTAGTATTACCTTATATAATATACACAGTGATTACAGGAAGATTCTAGACCTAGAAACTCAGAGTTCAAGTCTTAGCTATTCTACTTGCTAAGCAAATATATATGCTTAGCATCCATATGTATGTTCTTAACAAATATCTGTATGTTCTATATATTCTTAGGAAATATCTTAACCCTTCTGAGCCTTAGTTCCCACATCAATAAAGTGGAAATAATGATGGTATCTAATTCACAGCATTGCTGTGAGGATTAAATAATTTATTACATACAAAGCATTTAGAATAGTCTGGCATAAAATAAGTACTATATAAGTGTTATTATTATTTCATATGTTTCTATGGTAATTTTTTTCCTATGTATTTATCCTACAGCACTTTTTTCTCATTGGCCTTAATTTTTTAATGTTATTACATTTTATTTTCTTTGAAAGTTACTTAATGCATAGTTCAAGGCTTTAAGTCTACACATACTACTGCCAGATCCTGCAACTTGCTAGTAATGGTCATTGCTTCTTCACTTTTAAAAAGTGTGTTAAGATATAATTCATATACCATATGATTTAGTCATCTAAAAATGAACACTTCAATGGCTTTTAGATTATTCAGAGTTGTCTGTTGACCACCATAATCTTTTTTTTTTTTTCCTTTTCTGAGAGCTACCTTTAATATTTTAGGAGTTTGTTACAAGTATGACTCTCAATCCTACATTCTCAGGTCTCTGGCACTGAATTCCCTGCTAGGATTCCTATGAATTTTTAGCTCTGAAAAATTGTCCCAGCAGCCAGCTACACTTTGGCTTTTCAGCCCCAAGGGACCACTGTTTTATCAGGTGAAGTGTGACAGAGATCATTATAAGTCCAAAAATCATCATCTGCCACAATGAACTAATTTTCCCCTTCCAGAAAAGACTCTAATTTCTTAAGGAAGTTCATGTCAGTGAAGGATGGATTGAAATCCAAACTCCAGCCTGAAATTTTCTAGTTGATGTACTCACTTCAGAAGTCATACAGTAAACTTTCTTACTTCTCTGAATCACTTAATCTAAAATATTTCATCCGCCAAAGGCTGTAATTCTATAATACTCTCAGAATAATTCCAACAACTTTGTTGACTACTAAGTGGTATTCCAAGGACTATACATTAAACAAAGAGGTGGGTGAACTCTTGATATAGTTCTAAATTGGTTATTTTAATTCCTAATTCTGGTAGTTTTTTCAAAAATCCTTACACCAAGTGTAAGCCAGAGGTAGAACGGTTTCTTCTTGTAGCAGGCTGACGGAGTGCTGAGTCAGGGCACATGGCTTCTTGCTGAATTTAGTCCCTACACATACCTAGGCCATGTGCCATTTCACAGGCACCAACAGCAAAGGGTATGTGAGAGCTCACTTTAAGTTCACCCATTTCATCTTACTTCCTCAGCTCCCCAGTTATCTCCGTCCCTGAGCTTAAATAGACTGACCTGGATCCTGCCTTTTACTGACCTCATCAGAAACTCTGTCTCGAACACATTGTGATTTTAGTGATTTAACTGAATATCTGCAAGATGAGGTAACAGATGGAGTAACTTACAAAGTGTATTGATTCACTCCTCTAGTTGACTTCCAACTTTGCTTTTTCTCTTTATTGTGGCTTGTCTCTTCATCATATTCATAACCATATAAAAGCCCCACTCCTGGTATGGAAACTTCCTTGCTATACATAATATTAGAATTTATCGTCAAGCTTGTGCACTGCAATTAATTCCCAGTAGGGATAACCTTGCAGCCAGAGGGACTTTTCAACTGTCCACACTCTCTACCCACCTCCAGGGAATTCTAAGTGAATAAACTTTTCTCTACAAAATAAATAACCATCAAACATGTTTTCTTAGAAAAGTGAGAGTTTTCAGATATTTTGAATAGACGTTATATATCATAGATATCTAGCAACAGAGAAACAATGAACAAGACACACACAATGTAATGTGATTTAAAAACTTAATAAGTCTTTTGATTTATGTCAAAATACATTGCATGTCAAAAAACCAGTTTCTGGATTGTGTTACTTTTATCACGATGAAAAATGCCATTAGATTTGTCATTGGAAATTAAGTAATGAAATGATTTGACATGTGAAAGAAAATTTTTAAAACAGAAGTTTTTCTTCCAGTTGTCACAACTCATTTAGGTACCAATTGTCTGCAATTACAAATACCTGAATCGAAATGTCAGCAAATGGCTGTCTTTGGTGGGGAAAATATCTCTGAGGTGAATTTAAATATTAACTGCCAGAAAAATGCCATGTTTTTTTTCTTTCATAAGTATTAAACAAATGCACAGACATTGAAGAACTTGGCAGAATTAAAGACCCAAATTCAAAGCATTCTCAAGAACATTCTAAGTCTGATGCTATTCCGAAAGTTTGTTCATTTACCCAAGTATTGCATCACCTGTTCTCCACAAATCTTCCCTACACACTTCTTGAGACACTTGCAATATTTTTGAAAGAATAGAAAAGTTAGAAAAGGAATAATCACTTGTTTGCATTGCTCTGTCTTTGTCAGTATGTCATAGTCTTTATATGTCACAAACAGGCTATTATGTACTTTAATTATCATTTTCTTTTCTTTTTGGAGTAGTTTTTATAGAAGAAAACTACTGAAGTGTTTGAGAATCGTCCTGATAACTCTTAATAAATTATTTTTTAACTTGTGGGTTACAGAGATACCCACAGGATGGACTTTTGAGACTGGTGTACTTGAATTTATTATAATTTTTGTTTAAAACTACAGCTTTATTAAATAAGGATATGGAGATTATTACATACATATGCAAAAAAGATAAACATTCATAAGCCACTTAAAAACAATAAAATTGAAAAAATATGAGATTGCATAATAGAAACAGATTAAGCTAGTTTAAAACTTTTATTATTTTACAATATAAAATAGTTGAATACTTAGACAAAAGTAGTTTGCTGCTATTTTCAAGTGCTCCAAAATGCAAAAATATGTATGGCATTGTTGCATTTGATCATGTTTTGTGGGACTTGTTTTTGGTTGTGGTGTATGAATTAAAAATTCACATTTGGTAGAACAAAAACAATAATCGAGGTGAAGATATGGATAATACCAAGATAAGAATCAAATATGATAATTATAGAAAGAGGTCATAAATATACCATACAGTTTAGCTAAGGGCATGAGCCACTAAACATATAGGTGATATGGTTTGGCTCTGTGTCCCCAACCAAATCTCATCTTGAACTGTACTCCCATAATTCTTACATATTGTGGAAGAGACCCAGTGAAAGATAATTGAATCATGGGGGCAGTTTCTCCCATACTGTTCTCGTGGTAGTGAATTCGTCTCATGAGTTCTGATGGTTTGATAAGGAAAGACCCATTTCACTTGGCTCACATTCTCTTCTCTTGTCAGCCACCATGTAAGATGTGCCTTTCACCTTCTGCCATGATTGTGAGGCCTCCCCAACCATGTGGAACTGTAAGTCCAATAAACCTCTTTCTTTTGTAAATTGCCTAGTCTTTGGTATGTCTTTATCAACAGCATGAAAACAGACTAATACTGGAAATTGGTACTAGTAGAGTGGGGTGCTGCTGAAAAGATACCCAAAAATGTGAAAGTGACTTTGGAACTGGGTAACAGGCAGAGGTTGGAATAGTTTGAACGGCTCAGAAGAAGACAGGAAAATGTGGGAAAGTTTGGAACTTCCTAGAGACTTGTTGAATGGCTTTGACCAAAATGCTGATAGTGATATGAACAATAAGGTCCAGGCTGAGGTCGTCTCAGATGGAGAAGAGGAACTTGGGAACTGAAGCAAAAGTGACTCTTGTTGTGTTTTAGCAAAAAGACTGGAAGCATTTTGTCCCACCCTAGAGATTTGTGGAACTTTGAACTTGAGAGAGATGATATAGGGTATCTAGCAAAAAAAAAAAAATTCTAAGCAGCAAAGCATTTATAAGAGATGACTTGGGTGCTGTTAAAGGCATGGAGTTTTAAAACGGAAATGGAGCATAAAAGTTTGGAAAATTTGCAGCCTAACAATGTGATAGAAAAGAAAATCCCATTTTCTGAGGAGAAATTCAAGCCAGCTGCAGAAATTTGCATAAGTAACGAGGAGCCAAATGTTAATCACCAAGACAATGAGGAAAATGTCTTCAGGGCATGTCAGAGACCTTTGTGGCAGTCCCTCCCATCACAGGCCTGGAGTTTTAGGAGTAAAAAATGGTTTTGTGGGCCATTCCAGGGTACCTCTGCTGTATGCAGTCTAGGGACTTGGTGCTCTGTGTCCCAGCCACTCTAGCCATGACTGTAAGGGGCCAACGTATGGCTTGGGCTGTTGCTTCTGAGGGTGGAAGCCCCAAGCCTTGGCAGCTTCCACATGGTGTTGAGCCTGCCAGTGCACAGAAATCAAGAACTGAGGTTTGGAAACCTCCACCTAGATTTCAGAGGATGAATGGAAATGCCTGGATGTCCAGGCAGAAGTTTGCAGCAGGGGTGGGACTCCCATGGAGAATTTCTGATAGGGGAGTGTGGAAGGGAAAGGTAGGGTTGAAACCCCCAACACAAAGTCCCTACTGGGACACTGCCTAGTGGAGCTGTGAGAAGAGGGCCAGTGTCCTCCAGACCCCAGAATGGTAGATCCACTGACAGCTTGCACTGTGTGCCTGGAAAAGCCACAGATACTCAACAGAAGCCCATGAAAACAGCGAGGAGGGGGGCTATACCCTGCAAAGCCACAGGGGTGGAGCTGCCCAAGGCCGTGGGAGCCCACCTTTTGCATCATCGTGACCTGAATCTGAGACATGGAGTCAAAAGAGATCCTTTTGGAGCTTTAAGGTTTGACTGTCCTGCTGGATTTTGGACTTGCATGGGGCTTGTAGCCCCTTTGTATCAGCCAATTTCTCCTATTTGGAATGGCTGTATGTACCCAATACTTGTACCCCCATTGTATCTAGGAAGTAATTAAACTTGCTTTTGATTTTACTGGCTCATAGGCAGAACGGACTTGCCTTGTCTCAGATGAGACTTTGGACTGTGGACTTTTGAGTTAATGCTGAAATAAGTTAAGACTTTAGGGAACTATTGGGAAGGCATGATTGGTTCTGAAATGTGAGGACATGAGATTTGGGAGGGGTCAGGGGTGGAATGATATGGTTTGGCTCTGTGTCCCCACCCAAATTTCATCTTGAATTGTACTCCCATAATTCCTATATGTTGTGGGAGGGACCCAGTGGGAGATAATTGAATCATGGGAGTGGTTTCTCCCACACTGTTCTCATGGTAGTGAACAAGTTTCATGAGATCTGATGGTTTGATAAGGGAAAACCTGTTCTGCTTGGCTCTCATTCTCTTCTCTTGTCTGCTGCCATGTGAGATGTGACTTTCACCTTCTGCCATGTTTGTGAGGCCTCCCATGCCACATGGAACTGTAAGTCCAATAAACCTCTTTCTTTTGTAAATTGCCCATTCTTTGGTATGTCTATATCAACAGCATGAAAATGGACTAATACAGTAGGTAAAAAAACAGCCCTCAAATATGCCTACACTTGAATCCTCATGTCTGTGAAAATTACCTTTATGGAAAAAGGGATGTTATAGATGTGATTAAATGAAGGATCTTGAGAGGGAAGATTATTCTGTATTAGGTAGGTTGACCAACATAACAAGAGAGGTCATTATAAGAAAGATGCAAGAGGAGTGAGAGTTAGAGATGAAGGCTATATATGATGACAGAAACAGTAGTTAGAACAATGTCCTCTGAAGATGGAGGAAAGGCCACAAGTCAAGGAACGTGGATAGCCACTAGAAGCTGAAAAAAGGCAAGGAAACAATTTTCCCCTCAGACCCTCCAGAAGGAACAAACTCTACCAACATCTTGACTTTAGCCTTATAAAACTGATTTTGGACTTCTGTCCTCTAGAACCTTAAGATAACAAGTTTGTGTTGTTTTAAGCCATCAAGTTTGTAGTAGGTTTCAAAAGACCTGTAGACAACTGGTCCTTTGCATGGCAAACATTGTTTCATTCAATGTTGTTATATTATAATGTTGATGAGGAAAAAATATATATAATATAATGTTGATGAAGAAAAAGTCAATTCCTGGCCAGAGCCACTGTCTGTGTGGAGTTGGCATATTCTCTCCATGTCTGAGGAAATTTCCTCCAGGTATTCCAGTTTCCTCTCATATCACAAAGATGTGCACATTCAGTGAATCTTTGTGTCTATGTGGTCCCAGCCTGAGTGAGTGTGGGTGTGTTCATGAGTGTATCCTGACCCTATCATGAATGGTGTCCTGACCAGGGCTGGTTTCTGCCTTGGCCCCTGAGCTGTTCTGAACTGAAATAATTGAGTAAATAATTATCTTATTTTTTTCTACTAATTTTTCTTACATGTATGTATACTTCACATTTATTTCAATGTTTAATATGAGAAATGTTTTGGTCTTTATTTAGAAGTTTGGTGATGTTTTTGTGACCAGAAATATGCTGCAAGAACTCAACTCTTATTTATATCAATTAGCCTATGGTGAAATTCATTTTGTTACACTTGTGTTCCTTAAAGAAGCACCTTCCAAGAATCTATGGATGCTGTTAAGTGAGAACTTAATTTGTTATAGAAACAAAGAAAAACTAATACAACATATATAGATTATATATATATATATAAATTATATCAGTGAAATCATTAATATGAAGATTTCTACTCTTCTAATCAATTTTTTCCCTCACACAGAAATATCATAGGATGATTGAGTATGCATAAAATTCATATTTCTGCAAGGGATAATATTTAAAAGAGGTAATTAGTGTTGTGATTTAGAAATATATATATGTGCATATATATATGATGACATATATATGTTGACTGAGCAGGTCAGGAAGTGGGTAGGCTATAGAGAAATATTGTCTGTGTAAGTGCTTGTAGAACCTCTGAGAATGCGAACAAGCTAAGTCTTGTAGCTAAAGTGCTCTTTTAGACTTTATGGCTTAGGTGTTAAATAACTGTTATAGGTGTATAAATATTTTCTTTTTATTGTTTTTTTAAAGATGATTGTGTTTGCAATCTATTTCTAAGATTTCTAGCCTGGAAATCTGGGTTAACAATTCTTAAATAAGTTTAGTTCAATTATTATTACTTTTCTAGAGACAGGATCTCAATATGTTGCTCAGACTAGACTCGAACTTCTGGGCTCAAGCTATCCTACTGCCTCAGCCTCGTGAGTAATAGAAATATTTTTATTACTTCCGTGACTTCAAACCAGCCATGACAGCCTAGAAAGTGTCTTGGTTTTAAATGATTCATAATTTGGACTATTTACCAAGCCATAAAAATATGATTATAAAGTGATTATGTCAATCATTGTTTTATGTTATTAAATCTTTATTTAGCATTAAATGTAAAAGCAAGAGGCAAGTGAAAAAGCAAAACTATTTGTATAAATGATTGCAACTAATTTATAAATATGGATAGATTTAAAGACTAAATAGAAAATTTAACAGTAATTTCCTCTGAGGGATGAGATTATCAGTGATCTGCTCTGCTACTTAATTATATATTATTTTCCAAATTATCTAAAATTAGTATATATTTTATAGTCAGAAATTATGAAAAGTAAGGCATTTAATTTAGTGATATTTGTGCTGCATATATATTTTCTTTATAATTAATATTTATATCAGATAGCAGTTAATTACAAAGTTTATATTATTAAACAACTTCATATAATCAAATTTATGGCCACAAACAATTTTAATAGTCCATGTCTAAAGAAACTCGAGGGCTTGGTCATCTGAAAACAAAGCATACAACAAATTTTAATAATTAAAATACATTACATTTCTATGTGGCAGATGCTAAGTCTAAGCATTTCGTATAGCAACTTCTTTAATCCTCAGGACAACCCTGAGCCTATTATTATTCTCATTTAGCAGATGGAGAAATTGAAGGGCAGAGAAATTGGGTGATGTATGGAAAGCTTGTACCTAATAAATGGTCAGGATTCAAACTCAGGCAGTTTAACTCCAGAGTTGTACTTTAATCCCCCTTGTTTCCTAACTCTAAAATTTTTACAAGTACAATTTTAGAGTGAAAATTTAGAAAATCAGTTTTATTGTCTTTAATTATGAATTTTTGGGGTTTATATTTTTGGTGTTTTTGTTTGTATATAAGACATATAAGTATTATTGATGAGTTGGCCTTATTCTTGCCAAGAGTAAATTATATGAACTATTATACACACATACATGCACACATACACGAACACATTATACATTTATCGTACCTGCTTTTACCCACTGGTCATCATTTTATAGCATATGGTCATGCTTACGGAAGTATTCTGCATGTCTGCAAGCACTACCCATTTTGTTGAAAAACTACTTTCACACTGGGATATGTCTCTGGGATAGGCTTAATCATGCTATGCAAATCAGCTTCTTAGCACAAGAATTTAGGATTGGGACTCAGTATACAGGAGAATTTAAAATCTACAAATGTGTCAGGCCATTTGAGGCCATTGTACTTTGACAAACAGATACCATAAATCAGCTGAAGGAGAAAGAAACGAGAGGTAGATGCTCAGAGAGAGCCTGTGAGTAAAGGCTTTCAGGACGCAAATGGGCTGTGGGTTCTACACTTCCATTTCCCAACACTGGCCTCTGATTTCTGCTCTAGATTCTCAGAAAGTGGTTGGAATCCTTGAGATAAATACCTCTTTTTTGAGCTGTGTGGTATTCTTATTGCTTGAATTGAAATAATCCTAGATTGAAACAATTATATTTTGGAGAAGAAATGTTTCTTTCAAAGAACTATGAAAAGAATTTTAAAATAATTTCCTCTTGCCAACAATCTTGAGAAATTCTACATTCTGTTTTAAACTTTTTAAATAAAAAAACTAAATAATCTGTTTAATGACACCCTGGGGGTTTGTCTGTTGACTAGTTCTCAGTAGGGAAAGTAAGAGATACATTTTTTTTAAATAAATTATATCCTTTATACAGATACTGAATAGTATTCTCACCGAGGTTTTGGGGAGGAAGGGGAAAGAATTATAAGTGCTAACGTTGATACTATTTACAAGTGTAATGAACTGCTTTGTGTCATAAGGAAAGTCTAATTTGATGTAAAAAGTATGACTTTTAAAGACTATTTAAAAGGTAACTTTAATACATTTTATTGAACTCTGTATAAACCTCAATATATAGGTAAAACACTTAGGAATCAAAATTGACATGATTTCTTTGCTTTATAATGTTCTCTGTAGTTTTCTTTTCATATCAGCAACGTATGATCATTATAGAAAACTAACAAAATAGTAGAAATTAAATGAAAGTCATTTATATCCTCTTCATAGAGAGATACATATTTTAAATCAGTAATGTATTTTCCATCAGCTTTTGTTTCTATGTGAATGTGTATATTCATTTGAAAAATATTCGCATTGTAGAAATAATTTTAATCATGATTTGACACAATATATTTGTGAATATTCTTTTTTTTTTTTTTTTTTTGAGACAGAGCCTTGTACTGTCACCCAGGCTGGAGTGCAGCAGCACAATCTTGGCTCACAGCAACCTCCATCTCCGGGTTCAAGCAATTCTCATGTCTCAGCCACTCGAATAGCTGTGATTAGAGGTGTGCACTACCATGTCTGGCTAATATGTATATTTTAATTTTTAGTAGAGATGAGATTTCACCATGTTGGCCAGGCTGGTTTTGAACTCCTGGTCTCAAGTGATCCACCTGCCTTGGCCTCCCAAAGTGCTGGGATTACAGGCGTGAGCCACCGTGCCCGGCCTTCTTTTATTCTTATATTATAAGTATTATTTCTAAACAGTAGATATTTTAAAGATTATGTTCTGCAAATGCCACTGATACTGGAATTTATCTAATCTTGAGTGTTAATGTCAGAGGTGTTGGAACCAGAATGATTCCATCTTGAATAGAGGCCAGGTAAAATAAGGCTGAGATCTACTGAGCTGCATTCCCAAGAGGTTAGGCTTTCTTAGTCACAGGATGAAACAGGAGGCCAGAGGAACTGGTATCACAAGACACAGGACATGGAGACCCTGTTGATAAAACAGGATGCAGTAAAGAAGCTGGCCAAAACCAAGATGGCAAGAAAAGTGACGGCTAGTGGTCCTCACTGCTCAGTATATGATAATTATAATGCATTAGCATGCTGAAAGACACTACCACCAGCACCATGACTGTATATAGGTGCCATGGCAACGTCCAGCAGTTACCCTATATGGTCTAAAAGGAAAAAGAACTCTCAGTTCCAGGAAATCCCCGCCCCTTTCCTGGAAAACTCATGAATAATCCACCTCATATTTAGGATATAATCAAGAAATAACCTTGAAAGTAGCCATCCAGCAGCCTCAGAGCTGCTGTGTCTGTGGAGTAGCCATTGTTTTTGTTTTATTGCTTTACTTTCTTAATAAATGTGCTTTCATTTTCCTCTGTGAACTTGCCCAGAATTCTTTCTTGCCTGAGATACAAGAACCCTCTCTTGGGTCTGGATCCAGTCTTCTTTCCTGTAATATTAATGCTGCAATAAACATCAATGTATGTTAAAAATCATCAACAAAAGATGTTTTGTTTTAACTACTTCCACTATAGTTTTGTTTTGTTTTAGGAAGGTTTTGATTTGATAAAAATTGGAAATATGTGTATCAGAATTCTTTGTGTTATATCATCTAATCCTAGCATTAATTTATATCTATTTTAGATCATTATTATGTTGAATATTTTCTTACAAGCCACACCATGCTGAACATATGCAAAATTTGGCATGGGTTTCCATTTCACAAATTTAGTTTAAAGACCTCAATTAGCTTTATTTTCAAATCTAGAATTAGGTAACACTTCATTCTATAAAACAGAATAAGTGTTCCAATGAACTACTGAGCAGAAAGAGTTGGCTTTGTATTATTTTATGATTTGTAACTAAGAGTTATTAGTTCTTTAAAGTTATTTTTCTTATAAGGTGGGGACAGGGAGATAAATTAATAGGAAAGTGACTAAATAGTTAACACCAGGTTACTTCAGGCTACCTCTTTGTGTAAGAATTAAAGCAGGGGAAATCTCATTATCATGCTGATTAAAGATTGAGGCTGGGGCGGTGTCTCATGCCTGTAATCCCAGCACTTTGGGAAGCCAAGGCATGCAGATCACTTGTGGTCAGGAGTTGGAGACCGCCGTGGCCAACATGGAGAAGCCCCATCTCTACTAAAAATACAAGATTTAGTTAGGCAGTGGGCTCCCGTAATCCCAGCTACTTGGGAGTCTGAGACAGGAGAATTGCTTGAACCCGGGAGGCAGAGGTTGCAGTAAGCCAAGATCGTGCCACTGCACTCCAGCCTGGGTGACAGAGCGAGACTCCATCTCAAAAAAAAAAAAAAAAAGATTAAAACTGGATGGTTTGGGAAATTGGATGTTAGTATCTTTCTCAGAAGATCAGATAACAATTTAGATTGGGTTTGGTGACCTGAAACTTTAACACGGGAGACTTCATATTGATTTTTAGCTTGTTCTGTTGGGCCTAGTACAGAAACAGCTCAAAACAATGACCTCGTATAATTTTCATTTGACGCCAGTAAGTTTCAAATGCTGTCATGTGCTACAATTTCCAGGTAGGCTCTAAGAGCTTACTGAATAGAAACCCTAATATTTGCAAAGTAAAAGAATAAGTTAAACCATGTGCTATAATTTAAGTGATTTTTTTGTCAGTATCAGATTCCTTAAAAAGTAGGTTAAAACATATGGCAAATCACACTACAGCTGATCCAGCCAGTTACAATATGTACATGAAACTTTGAGATTGTATATCTATGATATTGTGATTTAGAATAAGAAATATATATTTGGTCTTCATTCCCATTCTTGGCACAGATCTTCCAAAATCCTTGAAATTTCCTAAAGGATAAGATCCATAAAGGTGAAAGGAGGTTCTTTTGCTAATCCTAACAAACGCTTTTCAGCCACACTTGAGTTGTAATGAGATGACTTTTGGAAAGCCCCTAAGGATAGGGGCTGGTTTCCAGGGGAACTAACTATGTGATTAAAGGCTTAGAACTGGCTGGGTGTGGTGGCTCATACCTGTAATCCCAGCACTTTGGGAGGCTGAGGTGGGCAGATCACGAGGTCTAGAGATTGAGACCATCCTGGTCAACATGGTGAAACCCCGTCTCTACTAAAAATACAAAAATTAGCTGGGTGTGGTGGCGTGTGCCTGTAATCCCAGCTACTCGGGAGGCTGAGGCAGGAGAATCGCTTGAACCCAGGAGGCAGATGTTGCAGTGAGCCGAGATTGCACCACTGCACTCCATCCTGGAGAAAGAGCAAGACTCTGTCTCAGACAAAAAAAAAAAAAAGGCTTGGAGTTTTGAGTGGCATCCCTGGCTCTGGGGAGGGAAGAAAAGCTGAAGGTCAAGCAAATCACCAGTGGCTAATGATTTAATCAATCATGCCTATATAATGAAACTTCCATAAAAACCAAAAAGGAAAAAGTTAGGATAGGTTCCGGGTTGGTGAACAACAAGACATGCATTTGTCAGGAGGGTGGTGCACTCAACTCTATGAGGCAGAAACTTCTGCACTTGGTACCCTTCTAAACTGTAGCCTCTATGTAAGTATCTGTATCTGGCTGTTTATTTGTATCCTTTACAATATCCTTGCAATAAATCAGCAATAGTAACCAAACTGTTTTTCTGGGTTCTATGAACCACTCTTGCAAATCATTGAACCTGAGAAGCGGATTGTGGGAACCTCAGACCTGTAGCCACATGGGACAGAAGTTGTGGTAACCTGAGGACTTAATACTTGTGCTTGACTTCTGAAGTGGGAGGCAGTCTTGTAAAACTGAGCTCTTAATCTGTAGGATCTGAGGTTATCTCTAGGTAGATAGTGTCAGAATTGAGTTAAATTGTAGCACACCCAGTTCTTGTTCACTGAGCATTGGGGAACTGCTTGGTGATACGGTTTGGCTGTGTCCCCATCCAAATCTCATCTTGTATTGTAGCTCCCATAATCCCCACATGTCATGGGAGGGACCTAGTGGGAGGAAATTGAATCATGGGGGTGGGTTTTTCCCTGTGCTGTTCTCATGACAGTGAATACGTCTCACAAGATCTGATGGTTTTATAAAGGGCAGTTCCCCTGCACATGCTCTTGCCTGCTGACATGTACGATGTGCCTTTGCTCCTCCTTCACCTTCACCATGATTGTGAGGCCTCCCCAGCCATGTGGAACTGTGTGAGTCCATTAAACCTCTTTTTATTTATAAATTACCCAGTCTTGGGTATTTCTTCATAGCAGTATGAAAATGGGCTAATACACTTGGTATGGGTAAAATCATCCAATGTTTTGGTGGCCAGTGTGAGAATATTGAAAATGGTGTGAGTATAAAAGGAAAAACTGTTTCTTTATTTTTTCCAACCCCATATGATAAAATAAACTTATACTTAGAAAATTAAATTGATTTAGATTTCTAATGCCTAAATATGTCTTATACCTTACCTTTCTTCTTGTGTCTGAGAAAAAAATGATATTATAAAATGTGTTATCATGTACTTACAAACTGAATGTCTTGAATTTAATTGCTATGTAGTTGATTTTGACAGGCTTATTAACTGTCAAAAGGAATGTTGAAGGACAAAGTTGGAAAGAATCTGAGAAATGCCCAACATATCTTTATATTTTAGTTCATTAAATAGTTTTTGATAATAGACTATTAATATGACATTCAAAATTGGGAAAGGATTAATTAGCTAATATTACTGGTAAGTACTACGATCAGGTACTATCATCAGTGATATAATTCATATTGGTTGAAATTAATTAACCAGCATTACTGGTAAGCACTATTAATGGAATTATTTATTGGAAGTACTATACCATTGCCAAACAATGCATTTACTTTTAAACCTGCAACTCAGGTGGAAGTGAATATTGTACTAAAAAAAGAGTTTGAAATGCTTTATTCATACTACCCAAGATGAATTATTGACCATTGGTTGCTCAGGCTGGAGAGAAAGACAGAGCTGTGGCATCACGGTTTCATTCCTGATGGGAAATAAAACAAGTGCCTAGCAATTTATGAGAGAACAGAAAAAAAGGAAAGCTTTTCTTGCACTTCTACTCATAAAGACCCAGTATTTAAAATAAACTGAGTAAAAGACTGTGAACTTAGTAACTGGGCTCAGAGTACAATTATATCCTATTGCAAAGCAGAAGCAGGGTTGGGGTGGGGTCAATGCTAGGGATTCGCTAAGCAAGAGCATCGGACCAAGGTAAAGAAAAGAGACAAAAAGCCCAAATTGAATCAGAAGAGAAAACTCTGATCTGTCTGTCTAAGAACTATTAATATTATCCTGTTATCTCTGAAGAAGAATTTAAGTGTATATCAGAGCTCCATTAAAGAATATTTATAGTGATTTATAGGATTTATATCAACTTATAGATGAATAATTTTATAAAAATTTATATATAGAATCATATTTATGTATATGCATGTAATGCACCCAATGTACACACAGAACTCCATAGTTTCCTTTGCTTATAATAAAAGTGTATTAGTCTGTTCTCACATTGCTAATAAAGACATACTCAAGACTGGGTAATTTATAAGGAAAGAGGTTTAATTGACTCACAGTTCTGAAGGCGTGGGTGGCCTCAGGAAACTTACAGTTATGGCGGAAGGAGAAACAAACAAGTCCTCCTTCACATGGCAGCAGCAAGAATTATGAGAGCTGAGCCAAAGGGAAAAGCCGCTTATAAAATCATTGGATCTCCTGAGAACTCACTCACTATAACAAGAACAGCAGCATGGGGGTAACCGCCCCACAGTTCAATTACCTTCCACCAGGCCCCTCCCACAACACATGGGGATTATGAGAATTTACAATTCAAAATGAGATTTGGGTGGGAAAACAGCCAAACCATATCAAAAAGTAAATTGTATAAAGCCAGAGTTTTATTTCACTCTTTCTTAAGAAATTTTTTATCTTCATAAAAACCTCAAGAAAATATTTTATGCCTCGTTGTATCTGAGAGTTGAACTGCTTTTGCCCACTTTAAAAAGAAAATCAAGATTCTGATGACCAAATAGTAAGTAAAACCTGACAAACTGCATCCCTTAAAGAATGATTGTTATGGATATTTATTCCTTAATCAGGACTGCGAGTTTCATGAGAATGATAGATATTCATTGCTTTTGGTCATTCATTTCTTCTTTCAGTAGCAGCATACCCACTGCATTTTGGGGACTTTTCTCTATTTTATTACGTGTAGTCTGTGCCTTGTTTTCTCCCAGCATGGTTGATACCTGACCAAAACTTGGACAGTTGGCACTTCTGTTCTGTTACTTCAACTCTTGATGAGAGAGACAGAAACATGAAAAAAGGGTGAGAGCTCATTCATTCTAACCACAGCCAGAATTTGGAATTTCCTGAGCCCTGTACCATTAGAGCTACTCTGGTTCCTGCCCTTTTAAAGAGCTTGATCCTTTAGCTGATTTTCTACCCATAGTAAGCAAGCCTAAATAAAGTACATTTCTTTTCTGACCAACTTACCCAGTTTAGTTTCAATTGCTTGCAACCAACTACCTTAAATTATACATTACATAAACTACTTATTTCTCATAATGTGTTTGAGACAAAATTCTAAACATATTTGGAATACTTGTGTTTCATCAACAAAATAAGACATCATTTTTCTCCCATTGCAATATATTGAAGGCAATATATTGAAACCCAGCATAATCAGATTCCTGAGTGCTGAATCTTGGAATAAACACTCTTATCAGCTTCCAATGTATGCAATCTGCTTTCAGTAGCACTGGCATAAAAATGTTAGGGAGTTACTGTTGGGATTAATAGACTTTGCATCACTCCAATGCTAAGCATGTATTCATTGCCTGACCATTAATTAGATAGCCTTCAGGAAATGAAGCATTCTAAGAAGAAAATAGTGACATCACAGAAAAATGGAGAAATAATTAACAAATCCCAAGTTTACAGACATTTAAAAATGTTAAATGTTACTTGCCAATTGACATTTTAGTTCAAGAACACTGGAAGACCATTATGCAAACAGATGTTCTGAGGTGCTATCTTTTTAAAAAGTTACTTACTACATAGGAAGAGGAAGTCTTTCTCAACTCAAATTACTTGTTAAATATTAATAGATGAATTCAAATAATTTTAGTACTACACTTAGTTTCAAGTGCCCCCTTTCTCTCATAAAAGAATGTCCTTACTCATCTGTTATGTTGCTTTCTACCTGTGGTGACTTTAATAATTTGACATTTTTTCCCTGTCTATTCACATTGCAAAGTTATTATATCCAATTCTCTTTTAAAGGGACCTAAGAAATGCAGAATATGATTGTTTGACATTTTGATGGATGTCAGGGGTGCGGGGAGCGGGGAGAGATTTATCTGTTTAGGCAGCACAGGCTTCGCTCACACTGTTTTTTCTGTCATATGATCTATGGACCTAGAAGTGTTTCACCTCTGAAATATCAAATCCAAAATGGAAATTGCTGACTTCAGCCATGTAACATTCCATTTCATTCATTTGTTTAATTCCAGCAGATTTTTTCCCACTTTATCATGACATTTAGTATCTGGCTTCCTCTTCCTTCTTATTCATTCAATCACAACTATCTATTGAATGCCTCCTCTGTACCGAACCAGGTTCTAGGCACCGGGAATAATGTGCTAAATAAGACATACAGGACATTTTCTCAGAGACATTAATATTTTAGAGAGGGAGAAAAACTAAAGAAGCATATTTTAATGTTGGGTAGGAATGAATGATATCAAAAATTTAGCTGAAAAAGAATAAAAAGTGATGGAATATATATGGCTCTTTTAAAAAGAGTGTAATAATTAGCTCTTGACACAATATTGCTGCAAAATAAAGTAACTTCAAAATTTCAGTACAACACACCTATCTGCAGGCTGGCTAAAGTTTGATTTAGGCTGGGCTTCCCTTGACTTGGCTCCATGCTACAGGTTGAGTTCAATTCCTTTCCACCTGTTTCTTCAGCCCATTTAAGTCAGTAGCCACTCATGCATGTTCTTTTCATGGCAAAAGATCAGAATAAGAGGGAAAGACAAATTGGGTAATCACATTTTGAGCCTTGGTTTTGTCAGGTCTGCTAATACCCGATTGGTTAAAGCAAGTCACAGACAGGGCTTGGCCCCAAATCAAGGGTCAGAGAAATACATGCCACCTACATGTGCATAAGGCCATGAAAGGTTGGATTTATATAAAACTAATGCAGAAGAGTGAAGAGTTGTGACCAATTATTCAATCTATCATTTTGAGTGAAAGGGGGAAATTCATTGACATTTAAGATCTGAATAAGGGATTAAAGAAATTATATTAATAACTGAGAACAGAACATACCAGGTAGTGGAAACAACAAGTGTAAAGACTTAAAAGTAGAGACAAGTTAGAGAAATAACAGTTTGTTTGGTACAGTAAACATGGGGTGAATGAAGGAAGAGCAGTCGTGGAAGATAAAGTCAATAGGTGTTTAATGATAAAATTTTAGTAGATCTTTAAATCCATGAAATTTGGATTTTTAAATAAGTACATCGGAAGCCTTTGAAATACTCTGAGCAGGAAATATATGTAATCAAATTTCTGTTTCTAAAAGATCACAGCAGCCGGGCACGGTGGCTCATGCCTGTAATCCTAGCACTTTGGGAAGCTGAGGTGAGTGGACTGCCTGAGCTCAGGAGTTCCAGAAAAGCCTGGGCAACATGGTGAAACCCTATCACTACTAAAATACAAAAAATTAGCTGGGTGTGGCAGCATGCACCTATAGTCCCAGCCACCTGGGAGGCTAAGGCAGGAGAATTGCTTGAACCTGGGAGGCAGAGGTTGCAGTGAGCTGAGATTGTGACACTGCACTCCAGCCTGGGTGACAGAGCAAGACACTGTCTCTATAAAAAACAAACAAACAAACAAAAATCACAAGCAGCTATGTAGAGAAATGACTGTAAGGGGGACAAAAATGAAAGAGAGCAATCACTTAAGAGGTTTTTTGGGCAATACTAGGGAGAGAAAGATCATGACTCATACTAGGATATTAATAGTGGAGGTGGTGAGAAGTAGAATTCTGGATACAGATCCAGGTTATTGGCAAGACCATATTAATATGGGAGGGGGGCAGGGAAGTGCTGGGTAGAGAAGGGTGGGATCCATGGTGAGGGCTCCACCCTCGGGCCTGTGGCCACAGACCTAAGTGAGAATGGGCACTCCTGTTTTCACACCTAAATGGTGCATTTTTCCAAGACCACTCTGGCTTGCCACACCCCTCATCTTGTGCCCATAAAAACCTGTGACCTAGCAGGCGCAGACACAAGCAGATGGATGTTGAGAGGAACAGACCAGCAGACACTGGCAGAACATCAATGACAGAATGATGTGGATGCCAAGGTGAGTTTGACCAGGAATGGGTGGAGGAGAGTCCAGCCTCTGGGTGGCCAGACTCCAGAACAAGACCACTTTCCCACTTCATCTCCCTTCTTGTTCCCCATCCATCTCACTGGGAGCCACCTCCACCACTCAATAAAACCTTGCACTCATCCTCCAAGCCCACGTGTGATCTGATTTTTCCAGTACGCTGGACAAGAACTTGGGATACAGAAAGCCCTCTGCCCTTGTAATAGGAAGAGCGTCCAATTGAGCTAACACGAGCCATCTGCAGACAGCCAAGCTGAAAGAGCACACTGTAACACATGCCCACTTGGGCTTCGGGAGTTGTAAACACTCAGCCCTAGACACCTAAAAGCTGTCCCCATGACCTCTGCACCCACCCATCTGCATGCTTCCCCTAGGGGTTTGAGCAGCGGGCAGCCACACCTCTGTTGCACACCATGTGAGGGGGATAAGGGAACTCTCCCATTTCAATATTATATGATGATGGCTTAGATATAAGAAGTGAGAGAAGGAGAGGAATCAAAGGTGACTGCTAAGTTTTTAGTCAGAATAACTTGGTAATTGGCATGACATTTATTAAGTGGAAACAATTGAAGGAAGAATGGGGTTGGTGGTAAGAATGAAAAATTTGTTTTACATAATTGAAGTGTGAGCTGTTTTTTGGACATCCAAATGGAGATGTTAAGTGGTGGGAGAGTAGGAACAGAAGAGATTGATGTTGAAGCTATCAGAAAATAGATGATATTTAAAGCCTTGAAGTTGGATGAGATCACTTAGGGAATAAGGAAAAAGGCTCAATGATTCAGTGCTAGGTGCTTCCAAAATTATGATTCAGAAAGAGGAGATAGAACAGGAGAGCAAGACCAAGGAGTGGCTTGGAAGGTAGGAGTAAATCGAAGATAAATGGTTGTCAGGAACCCAAGTAAAGAAAAAGTTTCAAGAAAGGAAGTGATCCCCTGTCTCTTCTTGATCTTGCTACTGAGGGTCAAGGAAGATGAAGATTGAGAATTCTTCATTGGTATGTGGCATGATGGAAATTATGAATACTCTTCACAGGTACCATTTCTATGGTGTGTTTGAGACAAAGTCTTATTGGAATCAGTTAAAAAGAGAATGAGAGGAAAATATGTCAGAATATTCAGCTCTTAGGAATTCTACCAGCTGGGCTGTGAACACCTCTTATCTTTATTTCCTGTTCATATTAGATCATATGTTCACAGTTTCAAAACAGCTTAACTCTATTGCTATATTACTTTTTCACTTGAATACCCAACAGCCCCCCAAATCTTGACCAATATAACTACCACCTTTTCATTTCTATAATTGAGCAGTTGAGCACTGCTGAAGGAAATCACAGACTTACTGTGCCTTGAAAAATTCTTATCATCAATACCATCTGTCATTCTCCCTGCATTTTCCTTGTTATTTGTCTCTCCTATTCCACATATACATAATTTACTTGTTCTACATATATTCTTCCTATTATAATCCTCTCATGGGAAGAAGTGTCCCTTCTTATAATTTATCTATCTCAGTCTTATACAATCATTCCTCCTACTTCCTCAGCAATCTTGCTCATTAATTATCTCTTGTTTTTCTTGTAGTTTCATGACCACCCTCCTTATTGGCTCTTTCCCGTCTTCATTTATGCATTCTCCATTACTTTCAATCATAACCTCAATATTTCCTCACCTCTCTGCTCCAATCTTTCATTATTCTCCCACCAGTGGCTACATTTCTTTAAAATGTATCTCCAATCATTATGACCATATCTCGCCTTCCATTTCCTGTTTAGATTTCTGCAATCTGAAACCCACCTTCACCACCACTGCAATAAAAGCTTCTTGTGATTGTAATCAGAAACTTCACTAAATCTCATGGGCATGTTGGAAACCTAATCTAATTTGATTTTTTTCCCCTAGTACTTGACACTGTTGAATTGTTATTCTTACTGAAATGTTCTCTTTTGTTTGTTCTGGTTGCTTTCACACTTAGTTTTTCTCCTATCTTTCTGGCTGCTCTAAGTAAATGTGATAGCTGGTTTCTTTTTATGTGTTACAAATTGGTGTTTCACAGGGTTTCAGCTGAGGTTTTATTTTCTTCTCCCTTTGTGTTCTATTACTGCCTGACCTCATTCACTCCCATGACTTGTCATCTATATCCTGATGATGCACAAATGTATCCTCCTAGGCATGTATTTCCAACAGCCTCCTGGATATTTCCACCTAGCTGCTCCTCTAATAACTTAAGCTCAATAAGAACATCATCTCGTCCACTGAAACCTGAAATCTCCTCCAAAATCATCTATGTCATTGACTGGAGACACCATGCATCTAAATGCCTAATAAGGAAAATTAGATAAAAAAATACACCCTTTATTTATGCCCCCAACTAATTAGCCAAGTCTTGTTGAGTCTATATCATGTCTCAGTCTTTTTATTTATCCAATTCCATTCTTCCCCTGTGGATCTACTCAAGTTTAAGAACACCATCACCTCTCTCTCCTGGATTTCTTTAGCAGCTCTCTAATTCAGTTCCCTGGTTTTAGTCTCAACTTATTTATTTATCTATAATACAAATATGTTAGTGTTACTTTCATTTCACACTTTTCAAAGTCTCTCCTTTTTTTTTCTTTTTTTGAGATGAAGTCTCACTCTTGTTACCCAGGCTGGAGTGCAATGGTGCGATCTTGGCTTACTGCAATCTCTGCCTCCCAGGTTCAAGTGATTCTCCAGCCTCAGCCTCCTGAATGACTGGGATTACAGGCGCCTGCCACCATGCCCAGCTAATTTTTGTATTTTTAGTACAGATGAGGTTTCACCATGTTGGCAAGGCTGGTCTTGAACTCCTGACCTCAGGTGATCCGCCTGCCTCGGCCTCCCAAAGTGCTGGGATTACAGGTGTGAGCCACTGCACCTGGCCTAGTTTTTTTTTTTTTTGGTAGAGTTTAAACCTCTTTGGGTTTTGATTTTTTGAACACCTTTATCCATTCATCTCCCATTCTTCTAGAAACTAGCTATATCCTATTATCCTTGAGCTCTCTGCTCAAATATCACTACTTCCTGGGTATTTCTTCCCTCTCAAATTCTGACTTATTTCCTTTATAGCACTTATATTGAAATGCATATATCTTATACGAATAGTTTCTGTAGTCTGTACATACAAATTAACTTCATATTGACAGTAATGCACATTTTCTGTTTTTGCCCACATCTTGTACCCACGAAACTCTATTGCCCATTCTCCCATGAATATTTCTGAAAATCTTTGAAACAAGTCAGTGCATCAGTCAGCAAATATTTTTTTGAGGACCTATTATGATGCCAGGCAATACTTTAGATTCTAGGAATAGGGAGATGAAAACGTTGGAAGGCCTACAGGATTATAAGACATTCAGTAAACACACAAACACATACATAATTTGAGACTGCAGGTAAATGCTAAAAACAGTCAAACAAGAAACTCTGGCAGATTAACTAAGTTGAGGGGCTGAAGGGGAGAAAGGGGCAAGAAGAGGTCACTGTTTTGGCAATTGTGAATTGACCTGAATGGTGAGAAGACAGCCATGCAATCATCTGCAGGTAGATAATTTCAAGCCAAAGGAACATACTAATGTCTTGACTTGAGATCAAGCTTGGCACAGGCAGAAACGAGGGTCTTGTCATAGCAGCATTAGTTGTAGAGATAAAAAGGAGATCAGAGAGGTATTCAGGGCCATGTCGTGCAAGGCCTTATAGGCATAGCAGGAGATTGGATATTATTCTGGTTGTAGTGGGAAGTCATGGAGAGTTTGAACAGGACAGTGATCTAGTTTGATCACTGGTTCATTTGTTTTGGTGAGATGAGGGGACTCACGTGTTCTCACAAACAAACATCTCCCATATAGTCAATGCATGGGTGATGCACAGGGTCTTTCAGAACCTTAAAAATGAAATAGCTAAAACACAAAGCTTGCAATTTCTGGTTGCCTTTCAAAAATGGACTCTGCTGCATCATTATGTTAATAGACTCCCTGTCTTCTAGGGGCAAACAAGGGTAGTGGCATTGGAAACCTCACTTTGTTTCCCCAGTGTTAGTCTGGTTCTCCTTACTTGTCCATAATCTTTTTAGAGCTACGGTTGTAACTTGTTCACTATTACATCCCCAGGTGCACAGTACCTGAGTAGGACTCAATTACTGTTTGTTGAAGGAAGGAAAATTTATGGAGGTAGAATGGAGAATTTTAATGTTCTCTCTACACAATTATTAACTCTTCATAGGGTCAATTTATATTCCCCAGTGTCCATCATTCATTTCCCTGAAAGAGTGGTGCACAGCTCACTGCAATATTCTGACATTTGGGACAAATAATCAGATCTTCTTGGAACATTTGAGCTTTCATTCCTCTAACCCTGACTGACTAGACGAAAACTCTGTATTGCTTATGTTTACTCAGATCCTTATGCAGAAAACATACAAACAACAACAAACCCTTTATTAAAGTAAACTTGAAGAAGTTCACTTGGATTGAAAAGGCATGTATTTTTTCATTTACATTTGGAAATTCAAATGACAGGATCTAGAGTTCTAGGATAGAGTGGTGATTGACAGTAATGAGCAACAATTCAGAAAAGAGAAACATATTGCAAGAGTCACAAAACCTCTAATGCCCCAAACATTTTCCCTTTTTTAAAAATTGGTCCTTTTTGCATTATCTTTTTTTTTTTTTTTTTTTGTCAGAAGAGTTGTAGCTGCCATTCTAAGTTCAGTTTCTTTTGCATTCATGCTCACTAAAAAACAAAACTGCAAAATACAAGAGCTCTACATTTATGTTCAGATGAAAGGCTGAAATCCCAAACACAGAGAATATTGACAGCTCTGACAGATCCATCTCTGACATTAACAGTCAAAGATGGTTGCATGGAAACACTAACAGTCAAAAATAACTCCTTTTGTTATAAAAAATAATGAGAAGGAGATGAATTGAAAGGCTTTGAGACTCGACTGAGTATCACAAAGATTATTCTAAAGTTTTGGGCCTGACATTTTGTCTACTACTAGTTTTCATTCTAAAATTTTCAAAATGAGCCTCAGAGAAATTTACTTCACAGGTTGCTAATTGAAGCTTAGAAGGGAAAACTGTAACTTTCTCACAATGGCACTTTAAAACATTTAGTTCTAAGTTTTCCTACTGTGATCGATACTCTGGGTCTTACCTTAACTCATTCACCATCTTCCTCAGGGCACTAGAGTTGTATTTCCACTTTTTGGTTTCACTTTCTCAGTTCTGTTACAATCGTTGTCTACAGAGCTTTCCTGAAACAGAATTCTCATTTTTAAAAAGTGATATTTTATGCCACAGTTTGACAAAAAGACAGAAATTAAGAAGGGGAAAAACTTAAAGACAGTTTTTAAGATTCAGGAAATACACTAAGAGTTATATAGTTCTGTGAAACCATCAAGGTAGCTATTTAGGAAAGATTTTAAAAAGCGGTTGTTTAATGGGATTTTTCACCTTCTAGTGAGATATATCGGCAGCCTATAGCAAGCCCTGTTTCTGAAAAGTTCGACTTGTTTGAAGAAAATGGACATTTTCATAGTTTAAGAAGGACTGAAATTCAGCTGAACTCATTTCGTATATCTATAAATAACTGTTTATTGAAATTTACCTTCTCACAAATTCTATTTCGTTTCTACACACAAAACTCTGCCTGAAAAGCGCCTCTCATTAATATGTATTGGAATTATTTAGTTCCCTAATTTTCCCCCCTGTTTCTTTCTGTGTTCTCCAAGCATACTGTTTCACCTTGGGGAAATTAAGAGCCATTCATTTTTGAGCCACCTTTGAAATTTAAGCTGCTTTTTGCATTTTTATCAAACTGATTCTCTGACTTTTTTTTCTGGCCTAAACTGAGCTTATTTTAACAGAAGACAAGAGATTAATGATGTTGTTTGATTAATAACTTGGTATATCCGAAGGTAGGTTAAACTGAGGCTACGTACTCTCTTCCCAGGCCCTCATCCTTATTAAAAAAGCCATCAAATTTTTCATAGTTTTCTATGCTGCTTTTAAAATACACCAATACACTGTGGTATAGTTTTCAAATTAATAGCTATACATTTGTACTTTTTGTTCACCTATATTTTTCAAATATTACCTTTTCTGAACAACTCTTACAGGGGTCCTAGGGCAGCAGGACTTGGAGAACTCTAAGAGATGCTCTTGGCTGCTTGCCATATCTCACACCATGGGAATCAGACTTACTCAAGACAAGAGAGGCTTCATAAAGATTTCCTTCAATTTTTTCTCACCTCCCAACACAATAATCTATTGCAAATATTAGTATATGATTTGGACAGAATGAGAGAAATATTAAAGGAGACTACTGGCTGTTACGACCTGACTGCATTGGGTACTCTTGCAAATGGGTAGGTGGATTGTCGTGCGTAAGAGCATGGTCTCTGGATTCAATGGCTTGGGTCTGCACTGAGGCTTTGCCATGGACCAGCTGGGTGACCTTGAGACACTAACTGCTTTCCTTTGTGCCACAGGTTCTTTATTAGCAAAATGGGGAATAATGAACCCTACCTCATAGGGTTCTCACAAAGATTAAATCAATTAATACATGTAAATCACTTAAAACATGCCTGGTCTATATTAATCCTGTCTTCATATTTGTGCTTTGTTACTGATCCTTTTGAATTTTGTTTATTGTAATATTTTAAAATATTCCATTAAAATATTATTTTGTCTGATTACTGAGTTTTTTGTCTCTCCCTTACATTTTACACCAGAGGTAAGTGTCTTGCTCCTTTCATACTAATCCTTGCCCTATTTCCTATATTATTACAATTACTGGCTTTCTTGATGTTCCTGGTCAAATTTGAAAACAAAAAAGTGTTTTTTTTTTGTTCTGATCATTTCAACTGTAAAATAGATAGGGCATGTAGAAAATAGATTTTAATAAAGGTATACATCTTGAAGTTTTAATACAAAGCAAGTAAATGCACGTGTAACCACCACCTAGATCAAGAAAGAAACATTGCCAGCATCTCATGCACCCTCCCAATAAAGATCCATTTCTCCTTCTGAAAGGTTGACTTGTATCCTAACATTTCTGGTAATTGTTCCCACGACTTATTTGATTGCTGTCTATCTAAGTATGTGTTCTCAAATATTATCTTACCTGGTCTATTTAAAAAAATGATACAAATAGAGAGATGCACATACAATATGTATTCTTTTATGTCTCTTTATTTTATTTAAAATTAGGTTGTGAGATTTACATAAGTTGTTATAGCTGTAGTTCATTTAATTTCCTTGCTGAATAGTAATTCAGTGTATCAATACACCACAACTTATTCATTCTACCATTGATTAATTTTGAATTTGTTTTCAATGTTTGGCTATTATTAGCAATACTACTAGGACCACTCTTGAATAAGTCTCTCGGGCACGTGTGGTATATGTGCTTGCATTTATATTAGGTACGTGCTTGAGAGTGGAATTAGTATTAGTGCTGGTTTTCTGAAAATGTTTTATCAGCTTTTACCTGTTAAACTAATTTTTTAAATTTAATAGTGTATCAGGAAATTACTTTGTATTTTCTATATACATAATCATGTCAACTGTATTTGTGACATTTGGATTTCTTCCTTTCAAATCTTTCGACATATTATTATTTCCTTATTACAATAAGACCATCATCTTCACGACATGTTGGTTAGAAAAGTCTGTTATGTTCCCAGGTTCACAAGGAAAGCTTTTGACATTTAATAATCAGATGAGTTCTTTGCTATAACATTGGTGTAAGGGCCATTTGTCAGATTAAGAAAGGTCCTTAATGTTTTTAAACATGCATACATACATCAAATAATATTTTCTTATATCAAAAAATTTTTGTACATTTGTTGAGATGGTCATATGAGTTTTCTCCCTTATTTGGTTAATATGATAAATTATATTAATGATTTTCTAATGTTAAGCCAAACATATGCCTGGGGTAAACCCAAATTAGACATGGATGCAGCATCTTATTATATATTCTGGGGTAGTTTTCTATTTTTTTTTTTTTTGCTTAGGACTTCTGCATCTATACGTATAAAGAGGCTGGCTGACTTGCAATTTTTTTCTTGTGATTATTATTTCTAGTTTTTTATTGAGGTTATTATGAACTGTTAAAACATATTTTAGAGTAATGATTTGTTATCTAGTCTCTAGAAGATTTTGTGTTAAAACTTGCATTCATTTTTTCTTAAATATTTAGTAGGATTTACAAGTGAAGGTATCTGGGTCTGGAGTTTTTTCTTTGAGAAAATTTAAAATTATGGATTTAAATTTATTTTTTCCAGATATCTATAGTTTCTAGATCTTCTTTTGTTAGCTTTTATAATTTATATTTTTCTAAAGTTTTGTGTACTAGTTTGTTCTTGCATTGTTATAAGAAGTACCTGAGACTGGGTAATTTATAAAGAAAAGAGGTTTAATTGGCTCATGATCCTGTAGGCTATACAAATGTGGTACTAGTGTCTGCTTGGTTTCTGGGGAGACCTCGGGAGGCTTTTACTCATGGCAGAAGGTGAAGTGGAAGCAGGCACATCACAAGGTGAAAGCAGGAGCAAGAGAGAAAAAGTTGGGGGTGGGGTTTGCCACACAATTTTAAATGACCAGATCTCATGAGAACTCACTCAGTATCATGAACACAGCACCAAGGGGATGGTACTCAGCCATTCAAGGGAAATCCACCCCTATGATCTCATCACCTCCCACCAGGCCCCACTTCCAATACTGGGGATAACAATTCAACATGAGACTTGGTGTGGTCATATACGTAAACTGTATTGATTTCTAGTTATCTTTTGCTGTTGCTAACTTAACTGTTTAGTGACCAGATAATATATTCTGTATTGTTTTAGTACTCTGAAATATTTTGAGATTTGTTTTATATATAGTTTCGCATATAATCAATTTTTAATATTATGTCTCATTTTAAAAAGAATGTTTCTTCTGTAGCTTTGAGTAGACTGTAGGGTACATATCCAATTATGGTGTTTATGGTGTTCAAATATTTTATATTGCTGTATCTTTCTGATTCTATTTTGTCCTTTTATTTGATCAGCTAGTGAGAGATGTGTGGGTTTACCTATTTTTCCCATAAAGTTGTTTAGATTGTGGCTTTATATTCTTCAAACTATGTTATTAGGTGCATACAAATTTAATATTGTAGCTTCCGGGTTCATTTTAACTTTTTTCCACTATGAAGTGCCCTTTTTTATTTTTAGCCATGCTTTCTGCCTCAGAGCTGTCTTTGATATTAACATAGTCACATCTGCCTTATTTGGTTAATAGTACAAAGTATAACTTCTTCATCTGTTAACTTTTCATATTTCTGTATCATATTTCAGATGAGGGCTTTATAAAGAGTATATAGTTGAGTTTTGTATTTTTAATTCTGTTTTTATCTTTGAAACAGAGTATTTAGTTATTTTTATGTTTAATGTAATTTAATTTAATGTAATTACCAATATCTTTTAGCTTCGCCATCTTACTCAGCCATTTCTATTTGTCCTTCCTGTTTTGGGTTTTCTCTCCCATCTGGCCTTCTTTTAGATTGAGTTTTTAAATATTTCTTTTCATCTCCTATTAGCTTGGATGATATGCAGTCTTAAGATTCTTGTACTGTTCGCCAGAGAAAACTTCATTCTTCACTTACCAAAGTCTCATACTAATTGTTATTTTCACCCTGATCCTGAACAACTCAAGGAACTTGGAACACTTTAACTATGTCATTGTTTTATGTAATTTAATTATGTTCTATATTTTGAAGGCCACAAGGCATCACTGTTACTGTTTTATATGATCAGTATCACTGAGATATTCTCAAATGTTTACCTTTTTTGTTGCTTCTTAATTCTTTTTCAAAGTGTTCTCTTTATATGCAATTAAACAGTGACTTTTAGAATTTTTTTTCATTATAGGCAGGCTCATGATTAAGTCTTCACATTTTATATTCCTGAAAAGGTCTTAATTTTACCTGCATTTTTTAAAGATATTCATAGTTGGGAATAGAATTCTAAGTTATCAGTTTTCTTTCAGCATTCTAAAGAAGTAATTTTATTTTTGTCTGGCTTACATTTTCCTGCTTAAAAGTCAGTTTTAAATCTAACTGATGCTCCTTCTAAGATAACTTTTCTTGTTTTCTCTTGCAGTATTTACATTTTTTTTTTTGTCCTTGGTGTTCAGTGGTTTTACTGATATGTCTGTGAGAAGTTTTTTTGTATTCATTCTGTACAGTTTCTCATACTTCATGAATCTGTAACTTACTTGATGACCTTCTTCAGTGTTAGAAAGTTATTAGTCATTATATTTTAAAATATCACCTGTCTCCAATTTTATATCTAATACACATTCTCTCGATCAGCTTTGTCTTGCATCCCATCATCTGTATTTTCCAGCTGATTCTCTCAGCTTTAGTCTGGAGATATATATAGTTACTTATCTATGGCAGAGCCTAATCTGCTATTAAAACTATCCAATGAATCCTTTATTTGAGTTATTGACTTTTTCAGTTCTAGGATTCCCTTTAATTCTGTAGTTTTAAAAATTCTCCCTCAAAATTCTCCCTCTTGTCTTTTATCTCCTTGAACACAGTTAAGTATAATTATTTTAAAATCAATATTTGATATCTCCAATATCAGAGGCTTTTAGAGACTTCTTCCACTGTTATTTCTGCTTCTGTGTGTTCATGCTATCTTGCGTCTCTATTGCCTGAGTATTTTTAAACTGTGTCTTTGAACAGTATTTGCAAGCATTTGGTAAAAATAAACTCTGGCATAGAATATTATCTTCCTCCAGAGAGGATTTATATTTTATTATTATTATTGCTTTGGCCAGGTATCTTAGGGAAACAGCTTTTCGAAATTATCCTAATACAATTTCTGGATTAAATATTACGTGAGTTTGAGCTGCCATCCTTGTAGGACCCTATTTTCTTTTCTTTTTTCTTTTTTTTGGTTTGGTAACTTTTTATTGTATATATATTTTTAAGGTGTACAACATGGTATTTTCATGTACTTAGCTTGGTATACATAGTGATTATTAAAGTCAAGTAAATTAACATACCCATCATCTCATATAATTAGCTTTCTTTTTTTTCTTGTGCTAAGACTACCTAACATCTCCTAGCAAATTATCAGTATATTATACAATATTATTAATTGCAGTTCTCATATTGTACATTAGAACTCCAGACTTATGTATCCTATAAAAGTGCAGTTTTATACCCTTGGACCTACAACTACGCATCCCTTCCTACCCTCTGCATTACTGCTGTTTTACTATTTCTCTGTATTCAGTATGTATTTTTTTTTTTAAGATTACACTTGAAAGTGAGACTATGCATTATTTTCTTTCTTCATTCATCTGGCTTATTTTACTTAACATAATGTCTTCTAAGTTCATCCATGTTGTAGCAAATGGCAGGCTCTCCTTCTTTTTAGGGATGAATAATATTTCATTTTATATTTATGTAATATATAACAAATCACACACACATACACACACAACACACCACAAATTTCTTTATCCATTCATTAATCTATTAAGGGGTGCTTAGATTGTTTCTATATCTCTGGAGCCTGTCTGTTTTTGATTCAACTTTACTCCTAGGGTACAACTTTACTCCTAGCCTTTCAGTGAGAGAAGTTCAGAAGTTCCATTCTCTTTTGTGAGGACCTGTACTCCAAATCCTTGTTCTCATGCATGAACACTGTCAAAAGTACCACTCATTGTCTCAACTTTCATCTGTTCCTTCTGAAATAAGAAAGAACCCCACAGGAAGACAAGCTCATAACTTGGGCTTCCTTTGTCACTGGATTACTGCCAATTAATCATTGTTTCACTAGTTCTAAAATACAGGTGTTAAAATATATGTTTTCCTGGTTATCCAAGATTTTCTTGTCTTTGGTGGGAGAATTGGTGCAAATTACCTCATCTGGCATTACTAGAAGTGGAATTACTTTTCCTATATAAACCCATTATGCCAGATAAGCAAAAATATCTACACAGTTTAAAGCCACTGAAACTGAATCCAATTTCTTGAGGCCTTGTTTGTTTAACAGAAAAACTCTAACTTAATTAGGAAAGCCTTTTTACAAACACAAAACCATCCAAAACTATCCAGTCTTAAAGGGTTCAGGCAAATATTGGAAAAGAGATGTCATCTGAAGGTTTTTCTCCAAGTTCAATTTCAGTTCTATTTAAATATTTGTATTGTTACTATTATAACTCATACCAAGGTCATGGAACTATGCTAGTTATAGAGATACAATGTGGCTGTGTGAACAAAATAGACAAAGCTGTTGATCTAAAGAAGTTTAGAGAGACATGATGAAAACATCTAGGACTAAATGAGATAATTGGTAAAAAGTTATTGGTAATTAAATGGATAACTGGTAAAAAAGCACAGTTCTAGGCATATAGTATGTACTCAAACACTGTTTTTATGTATCAGTATACACAGCCATTTCCAAAGAGCTGACAATACCTAGGCCCTTGTGGACCTGTGTCCCTACTGAGTAATTTATGGGAATGAGCAACAATGTGCAAACAGATTAGGCAATGGGAGGGCTCTCTGTAGTCATGTGTTTTGATTGTGAACTTTTATTAACTTTTCTACTTGGTTCAAAATACATGCTATGGTCTGAATGTTTGTGCCTTGCCCAAGTTCATGTGTTGAAATCCTGACCCCTCCAAGGTGATATTGAGGACCTTTGGGAGGTGATTGCGTCATAACATGGCAGAATCCTTCAGAATAGGATTAGTGCCTTATAAAAGCTGCTCCAGAAAGCTGTCTTGCCCCTTCCACCATGTGAAGACATAGTGAGACAAGATTACCTATGAACCAGGAAAGAGGGATCTTGGACTTCTCACACTTGCTCCAGAACTAGGAGAAATAAATTTCTGTTGTTTATAAGCTACCTACTCTATAGCATTTTGTTATAGCAGCCTGGATAGACTAAAACAATATGGGAAGATGTTTTTATAGGTACATAGAGCAGCACATTTTTATTTTGCCTCAAGCTCCAATATGGCTCTGTATAGCACTTACTTGACTGTCTGATGAAAACAGAAATGGAGGAGACATTGATGGGTGCTAACATTTCCAATGAATGAGAGGGTTTGCTGGGACATAGATGGCAGTGACAAGATGGAGTATGTATAGTAAATACATGAATTTTGAAGAAGAGGGAGAAACCTTTCTAAAAAGATAATGAGAAGTAAGACAGACCCCACAAAATATCTCTAGGTGTTAAGGTACAAGATAAAATATTGCTTGCTTGACAGACTGCATGAGAAAAGGTATCCTCAAGGAATGGTCAGTCCTTGATGAAAGTGTAATGGGAAAGAGAACACAAAAATGATGAGACTTTTGTGGAGGACAGACTATGTGACATGGTTTGGCCATGTCCCCACCCAAATCTCATCTTGAATTTTAACTCACATAATCTGCATGTCATGGGAGGGAGCCAGTGGGAGGTAATTAAATCATGTGTGCAGTTTTCTGTGCTGTACTTGTAATAGTGAATAAGTCTCATGAGCTCTGATGGTTTCATAAAGGGCAGTTCTCCTGCACATGCTGCCTTGCCTGCCACCATGTAAGATGTGCCTTTGCTCCTCCTTTGCCTTCCACTATGATTGCGAGGTCTCCCCAGCCATGTAAAACAGTGAGTCTATGAAACCTCTTTTTCTTTATAAATTACTCAGTCTCAGATATGCTTTTATTAGCAATGTGAGAACAAACTAATACACTATGGTTTTAAGATGGTACTGTGGCATCTTTCATGTGTAGTTTTTGAGGAAAGTGAAAACAATTAGTTCTTGCTTCTTTTCAAAGTATGTATGACATTCTGAACCAGGGATAACTACATGTTACTTTTTTTCTTCATTTTTAAAGAGATTATTCTCTCCACCATTGTATATTAAATGACTATAGATTGATTAAATGTATCATTTAACTCTAGGTTCAGGGTTATAAAAATAAAAACATCTAGACCAGATCAAGAGCTTTGTCCATTATCCAGAGATGAATTAACTGATATGACTTTGTGTTTCAGCCCTTTGGTGAGGAGGTTAAATGCGTCCTACTTGTATGTGGGATAGTTGTATTGGAAGGATGGGACATTTCACATATATATGACTGAAAAATGTACACACGATTGTATGTGTGTGTTTTCTCATATATGCAATAAAGAGGGAACATCTGTTTTGTTGGCTTAGTACAGTTGATCCTTGAACAACATGGGTTTGAACTGTGTGGGTCCATGTATATGCGGGCTTTCTTCCACCTCTGTCACCCCTGAGACAGTGAGATCAACCAACCCCTCTTCATCCTTTTCCTCAGCACACTCAACATGAAGACAATGAAGACCTTTTTGATGATCCACTTTCACGTAATAAATAGTAAATATCTTTATGATTTTCTTAGTAACATTTTTTTTTTTTTTGAGATGGAGTCTCACTCTGTTGCCGAGGCTGGAGTGCAGTGGTGTGATCTCGGCTCACTGCAAGCTCCGCCTCCCAGGTTCAAGCAATTCTCCTGCCTCAGCCTCCCAAGTAACTGGGATTACTGGTGTCCACCACCATGCCTGGCTAGTTTTTTTTTGTATTTTTAGTAGAGACAGGGTTTCACCATTTGGCCAGGCTGGTCTTCATCCCCTGACCTTGTGATCCACTCTCCTCGGCCTCCCAAAGCACTGGGATTACAGGTGTGAGCCATCGTGCCTAGCCAATATTTTCTTTTCTCTAGCTTATTTTATTGTAGAATACAGGATATAATACACAGAACAGACAAATTGTGTGCTAATCAACTGTATGTTATCGGGAGGGCTTCTGGTCAACAGTAAGCTATTAGTAGTTGGGTTTTGGGAAGACAAAGTTACATGCAGATTTTCGACTGTATAGGGGTCGGTGCACCTAAACTTCAGGTTGTTCAAGGGTCACTATCTTCTGGCAATAACATCTCCTCCTTGGGCCGCTGCTCTTCCCTCATACCCCTATCCTGGACACTTCTGAGAGGCTGCCAATCATTGCACTGAGCCCACGGGCCATAAGATTTGGTTAGCTTGGGCCTATCAAAGTGTTCCATTCTCCTGGTCAAGATATTGATCAGGAAATGTACATATATTTTAAGCCAGACCATCACTAAGGGCCCATTTTTATAATTTTTATATACAGAGATTTGGAAAAGATAATCATCTCTTTCTTCTGAGATAATAATCTTTATTGATCTGAATGAACCTGGGGCTATCTGTAGTCATGCCCATAACTTGCCCCATCACATGGAAAATGTCTTTAAAAAATGTGAATGGAGCAAATATATAGATAGAAACAGAGCTGAAAAATGGAGAAAGAACTGGTGATATTATTCACATCCTTTATTTCAATGATATGTAAGACCACCCACCTCTTTTTAGGATTCAGAGTAGACCAAAGGGGATTTATATTTATGATAAATGGGATTCTTGTTCAAATCCAGAAAGGCTGGATAAGGGGGTAAGAAACCCAGCAAGGAGTAATGTAAAGATCACTGGGCTGAGATTCTAGTTTAGGCTCTTTAATAATTTATATACATGTGGGTAAATTAACACCTTTCCAAGTGTTAATTCTTTCCCCTGTAAAATGCCAACATTAGCTTTAACTATTTCTAATATCCTTAAAACTGTAAATGTGCATATTCTAAACATCTGTAAACTAATCATACTTTGAAATAAGTGCCACCTGTGAGTAGGTAGAAACTTAATAATTTTTTGATAAGAATATTTTATTTTTTCTTTTAATTTCCTTTGCTTTTAAGCTTTCTGTTAAAAAAAATAGGATGCTGCTAGATTAATCTAGTGGAATGTAAATGCAATCAGTGACTAAATCAAACGTGTCTGTAGTCCACAACATTTCCAAAGCAAAAACAAAATTATAGATCTTTCTAATTTGAACCAGCTGAAATAACTGCTGATTTTTATAGTTGGAATGATATAGTGAATTGTCAGAATTGTCTCTGCAGATTATAATGCTGAGCACGTATGTACGTAAAGACACAGCAGCCCCTACCCTAATTTAGAGGTTTGTGAGGTTTGGCATTGGCTATGCCCCTGTTTGTCCCTTCAGTGAGATCTCAACCTTCTCAATCAGTCCCTCTGACTCCCTTTTCAAGCTCATGGCACTGCGATTCATCATAAGAACCAACAGGTAAGCTGTAGTGGCTGCATGGACTGTGATGTTGGACAGGGTTTCAAGACAGTATCCAGACTCTTGAGAGAGGATGCTACAATAAATAAACAATATCTGTAAAGGGCACAAGCCTGAAAACCAGGGCTTGTATGGCAGGATATGCCATACAGTTGCTAACTTAATTTTGTATTCCAAATGTTATTCCCGTTTTGATTGAAAATAGCTTTCAAATTTAATTTTTAAATTACAGGACAGACTCTTTGATTTGTATACAACAGGCTTCTCTACTGGGTGACACATTTTGGGACAAGGGCGCTTTCTACATTATTCTTCATATCCAACCATCTATTCTACTTACTGACCATCCAGGACAGCATGGATTTATATCCCTAGTGTCGTTCACAACTCTAATTTGTTCCCAGTGTGAAATATCACTCATATTGGTTTGAAATTATATTCTAAACTTAAAGCCCACGATTTCTGTGTGGGATGTAAAGTTGACAAAACACGTACATTTTTCCTAATGCAAATCCTACATGCGTTGACTTTGAGGTAGTCAGGCTGACACTGTTGGGGGCGTGTAAGACAGAAAATAACTCCTGTTAAATAAAAGCATAAGAAGTGAGGAAAGAGAAGCAGATCTGTTTTGTTAAATGGAATTTTTAGAGACAGAGTAAATGGTTCTGGTTTGTTTTGAAGGAGATTAAGAATAAAAATGAAGTATTTAAAATGAGAGTGAATACATGTTAAGAGGTCAAGGAAAGCTGACAATCTGCCAGTTGTGACAACACTTAATAATATTCAAATTAATTGTAATATTGAAAATGAAAAATTCTGACTGCAAATGAATAATGAATAACAAAACCAGACACGGCTCTTAGGTGAAATGTGATTTTCATGAGGATGGGAACATTTAACATTTATACAGCAGTTCATATTCTCAAAGTCATATATCAGTGACAACTGTAAAATACATCTTTAATTTGAATTGATGAAACACTCTGCAGGGGTACGTTCAGGTGGTCGTCCACTCCCCTCTCCAAATAAAATGAGAGAAAGAGAGAAGAGATTTGAATAAAGAAATACTTAAAAACTACTTATAAAAATGGAAGTCATATGCCCTGATATCCAATCATAGAAATGATTTCATTCTTGGTAGGTACGTCTTTGTTCTTCATTCACATGAATATTCATAAGCTGCCACAGCTCTTCATGTATTTAGAAGTACAAGGGTAATCCTCATTCTGAATGCAAAAGGATTGATTTATAAATATGCACTGTAATCCTTAGATACTACTTTAAATAAAGGCCCTTTAGATTATGTATCTTCTCCCAAACTCTCATATCTGTACTGTTCTTCCCATTTCCTTGCCTCGGTTGAACTTTAGCTAAAATTTTCTTGAAGGCCAAACTTTCTAAAGATTTTGTTTCAACCATCTAATGATCTGTTCTCATGCTCAATCTACTATCACAGCTACGGAGAACCCCAAAACAGTGGGGTGGTGGATACTTCATTCCTAGTAACAGGGTTTTAATAGGATGTCACTGCCATCCCACAATTCTACCCACTTACAGTTAAGTATGACCAAGAATCAAATTTTCCGCATGGACTGGAGCAGTAGCAATTCATGTCACTTCCAGGCTTGATTCACATGCCCTTTCTCATGGCCTTTCTTCTGGCTGGAGTGTTAATGTCCAGAGCAATTTGGGAAGTCACATAATTGATTGCAGAAGTGCCAATATCCTGTATCTCTAAATGCCCCTATAGAGAATAGCTGCCCTCGAACCTGGAATACCTCCTTGGACTTCTGTAATGACTGTGAAATACATCTTTAGTTTGAATTGATGCAACATTCTGCAGGGGTACATTCAGGTGGTAGTCCACTCCCCTCTCCAAATAAAATGAGAGAAAGAGAGAAGAGATTTGAATTAAGAAATGCTTAAAAATTACTTTTAAAAATGGAAGTCAAATACCCTGATATCCAATCATAGAAATGGTTTCATTCTTGGTAGATTGAGTGTCAACAGGAGACGGAAGTAAGTTTTATTTTATTTTTGAGGCGTATTTAAAGGTCTTCTTGGTTTTTCCACTTGACTTACCCTAATTAATACAAGTCTGGATTTGTTACTACAAATGTATGGTCTCTAAGCCCAGTGGCCTCTCACTAGCATTGTGCAGCCATTATGGAGCTGCTTCTTGCTTTACCTCTGCAGCTTTTTGAAACTTTCAGAACTCTCTTCAAGGTATCCTTCCATTTTCACCCTTTGTTTCTCAGCAGATTACATTGACTTACAGAGAAAATAATGCCACAAGGCATGAATTCCTTTAATTCTCTCCTTTCACAACTAAAAAATTATCCATGTTTGTGCCAAATCTTACTTCTTTTCTTTTAGATTTATGAAGAATTTTATTTCTCTTTAAAAGTATTCTCCATATGAGCTCTAATTTTACCCTTCCATCTGCTTCAAACTCCTTCTCTATTTCTTATAGTTTCTCTCTCTGATATTATAAATCTCTCCTCCCTCATTCCTGTATTTTTTCCCTTAAAGGATAATCATGATCAAGACTCTTTGATCTTTAAAAATTTAGACCGTATCCTAAATTATCCCTAATTTAGCCTGTATCCCCATCTAATTCTTAATCCATTTCACTTCCCTGCTTTTCAAAAAAGCTTCCTTAAAGTGTATTTTAGTTTCATTCTTCATTGTGTGGTCTCTCATTTGCCCTTCATTCTGCAATTTGACTTCTGTATCTAAGGCTGCGTTGAAGTTGTCTTAAGGAAAGTATGATGACCATTTTATTGCTGTATCCAGTCCTTTTAAAAGGTAAATGTGATCACTTCATGTTCTTGCTTAAAAACACTTTATTGTCATCCTAAATCAGAGTTAAGACCAAACACCTTAGTATGACTTATGAGATACTTTAGTATCCATCCCTTTTTTATTCCCTTATTTCCTTATCTGTAGTTTCCTTACAAGTACCTTGTGACCAAATGTTACTGAACTATTTAAAGTTCATGATGCTTAGGTCTCTCTAATTTTTCCTGAGTTGTTTCCTCTACTTAGAAATTACGTCCTCAATCAACCATGTGTTTAAGTAGCTTCTTACACTTCAAGACTCAACTCCAGTATTTCCTTTCTCTTAAAGTTTTTCCTGGACTGTTACAACTTCTTTTCTGCCCCAAAAATGCATAGAGTTTATTCTAGAATTTAACACACTGCATTATAATGTTTAACTCTCTTACTAGACTATAAACTCCTTGAAGAAAAAAAAAATCCCTGTCTTAATTTTTGTTTCACTAGAACCTAGCCTAGTGCCCAGAGCAAATAGCTAATATAGATTTATTGAAGAAGGGGACTAATAAGTTGCATCATTATTAATAAGTAAGCTCACAAAATTGGTGACTCTTGGAGGTATTTAGTAATGATACACCAGATGCAGCAGATCACATTGTTGATAATGTGAAATAGCAAAATGCCAAGAACAAGATGACATTATAATTTTTTTCAAAATTAGAAATAGAAATATCCATTTAAATTATTTAAAAGAAAAAAATTTGTATCTAAGAATTGGTTATCAGATATTTTATTTTTTATAAGAAAAGCATTTGTGATTTTATAAGAAATAGAAAAAGTATAAATGATAAATTGCTTCTGAACAGCAACCAGGAACACAGACTGAAGGTCATATGTGATCGACTGCAGAATAGAAAGCAGTAATCTGAATTATGGACTCCACAGGGACCAACTACTGCAGGATACTGCAGATCTTCTTAAACAGGATAATGGTAGTGGACAGACGCCAGCTCTTCAGAGAATGGAATCTCTAAGAAGGAAGGGGCAACAAAGGCGATGGCCTTTGTTAACTAAAAACCAGATTGACAGAAAAATTTCTAAGAGAATGTTTGACAATGTCAAATGTGTGTGAGGAAAGAAGCCTGATATTGGAGACTCAGCTACTCATGAGTCAGAGTTAAAGAGAGGAAGGTTTTTAATTGCACTGGAATGCCTTCTGTCATTTGAAACGATCTGGATTACACAGTTTCTAAATAATCAGATGGTAAGCCAAACCTATGGAATGACTTTCAACCTTGATTAAAGAAATGAGCACAGGCCATTTAGAGATAGTAATGAGGGCAGAACGATATTTTCCGTGACACAAATAGAATACAAAACAATTTAAAACGAAGTGAACAACAGTGCTGAGATGAAGTAAGATTAATGAAATAATAGTTCAATAGAGGCTTTGCTTGTGATTCTGAATTCTAAGTTTATTAAATGTAAGCGTCAGAGAAATTTCTAGGTTATTTAATGTTATCTCAAGGTCAAATGAAGGCAAATAGTCTCACATTCACTTCCACTATTCCTAGTTTCTTCCATATTTCTTCATTTCAAGGGTTAAAAAGCCAACATTTATTCTTTACAAATTTAAATTGTGTTTGCCAGTTTTTCTTTACCTACAAAGCTGAAAGTAAACTTCTGTCTATTTTCCCTTGTGAGCTACTTCAACTGAGGCACTAAAACAGTAGCTTATATTTTGTTTGCTCTTAATTATGGAAGTTTTTTGCATCATGATACTCTGCCCTCTCCTTCTCTTTGTTGAAATCATTCCAGTTGGTTATTTTTGTCTCCTATTAAAATGAACCTGAAACCTTAGGTTTATGTGGAAGTTATGGCAATTATTATTTTAAAATCCAAGTAAATAGCTCTTTCTCTCCCAATTGTACATCCTACACATTTATTTGCACTCTGTTTAGACATGCTATATTGTACAAAGTGTGTTTCCATTATTTCCACTTACCACCAATTTGTGGGTAGGTTAGCAAAGTGTATAAGCCACTTGTGTCTGTAAATTAAGAAACAGAAAGCCTTGACAATAAACTCTAAAATTTACTTTCTCTCAAATATCCCCAGTCTCTGAGAAAATAAGTGAGTAATGGTAAATACCAATCTACACCCAACTATGTCTCTTTTTGCACATCATAGAGAAAACAAATCAGCACTGAAAGAGGTAATGCAGTATGGTTTGACTTTTTTTAAAAAATTAATTTTATTTTATTATGGTGGAAACAAATCAACAAAACTTCTCTGATTGCCTCCCAAATATTTTGCCATTTTGAAACTTGGTGTGGATGACAGTATTTTGCTCATAGCTAAATAGAATACATGTCTTATTGAGTGTTTATGATAATAGCAGACACAGGAGCAAGGTTTAAAAATTTCTCTAAGGGAGAATATTTTTATCTACTAACTTGAGTATTTAGAATAACTAGTGAATATTACAAGGGGTAATGATCAGTATAATCAGGTTGGAGATGCCCCTTGACCTAAATGCGACATTAATAGGAGAACAAATTTTCACAGTTTATCATTTACTTATATAGACTAGCTCAGTTATTAATGTCCTAATTTTATAAATATCCCTGTATGCAAAACTATGACAAGTCTACCTGTGCTGATTGTGCAGAAGTGGGATGTGAGAGTTATTCCAGGAGCTATTGCTGAGAAGAGAGAAATATCACTTTTGGGTCCTTTTGAAAGAGCTCAATGAACTGGTAACATCTCTTTAAAAATGAAGACCCTTTAAAAATAAAGAAGGGCAAATGAATCGTTTGTAATGTTTTATTCTTTGAGTTCCCTGAAGAGTAGGTGTACACACTTGTAAGAATGTCAGTTGCTTGGTTTCAGAAAGCTTGGCAGGGTTCCATTTGGAATTCAAAGACATACCTCATGAATGGAGTTTCAGATAAATTGAAAGAGTCCTAATAACTTTTCAAAATGAGAACCATGCCAATTTCTCACTGCCTAATGACATTCATCAACTCATCTCACAGAAAGGTTTGAAAAAGCTATTATCTTCAAAACATGTTTATTGTCTAGAATATGTTTTCTTTTATTTTTCCTTCCAGTATGTTTAACATGAAAATAGTGATTGGGAACTTAAGACTAACATCAATACTAGGAATTTAGTATTTCTTTTCTAGAGTCTTATTTTAACTTTTTATTGAGTAAAACTAGTTTGAAAAGTTGAGTTTTTTCCTGTTCCAGAGCCTAATTTTATTTAGGATCTGACCCATGAAAATTCTTAATGAGTTACATAAGATGTCATTCCTTCAGTTAACTACAATGAAAGATTATGAAAGTAACTGATGAATGGAGATATGAAGTGCTACGTTTTTCAAAACAATTGGAACTGCTGTGGCACTATTGACTGGAGATTCTTTGTGGGGGGCAATGTAAGGAGGGCTTTTCTCTTAGGATACCTCCTTAGACCAACCCAGAGCTCTGGGAAGCTGCTCTTGAGGATTTTGTATCTTTTCATCCCGCTAGTGGGCCTAATTTGCAGTGACCCCCTTTACCTTAAGTCATAGTATCTGCAACAAGGCCTCATTTCTTGGGGAAGATAGCAAACTTGTAGTTAAAAGGCTCTAGGCCCAGTCCTAGATATAGGAATTGAATAAAATCATGAATGTAATCATGTAATCATTTCCTCCTTGTAAATTAAGATTTGTTACTAATTTATGTATTCAGCTGGTAAATGAGCAACTTTCTATTGTGTCAGGAATGGGGGCAGTAGATTAAGACAGAACCACTAACAGGGAGGAGGTCATTGCCTATGGAAATAGCTGTTGCAGCACTCTTCTGAGCCTGAATTTTAAAAATAACAAACATGGCTTTGCTTCATGATCTATGAAGTACCATAGGAATTCGGGAGGTCTGAAAACGAAAAGTATCAAGTTCAAGCTAAAAGATTAAACTACAAGCATTTATTAGGTTGAATATGAGAATAAAATAAAAGTGTAGTCAACCCTTGATTATTCACAGATTGGCTAGAGTTTATGATTATCAATGCCCTTCGATTCTCCTTTTGCTTCCAACTACCAACTATTGAATATTTTTTTGCTCATTAACACCTGTCTAGGAGTGGGAAGGTGAAATGCTAATCAGCCAATTTGGTTAATTGTTAGTGGCTGCTATAATCCTTTTTTTTTTAAGTTGAGATAAGGAAATACTTTACTTAAATATTGGCTGTGGACTACTAAACTTTATGTCACCTTCCCTTCCTTTTTACTGCATGGATAAATGCAGGTATTTAGTTCTTAGTAAGGTAGTAGAGAGAATTAAAAAGATAGTAATTCATCAATCCAATGTTTTTCAAGTATCACACTATAAATTCACATTACATAATTCTTATTGGCCAGTGTTCAGAAAATATTAATCTTCTACAATATGACTACTTTAAAAGAAAGCTTCAAGATTTAATAGTTGCAATTTTAAGTGTAGCCCTATATAAATAACTGCACTTGCTAAGTGGATTTGTATCAACAGGAACATAACTTCTAGAAAATTACTCAAGACTACCCTCCCTTTTGCCTGTGATAGACATTTGGGACCCTCCCCAAACCAAATAAGGGAAAGAAGAATGTTCTGAGCATTAAGAGCACTAAGAATAAATCTGAGCTCTCACGGATAAGATTACTTTCAACTCTTTATTTCATGTTTTCTGACATAGACCCCAGGATCTGTAATTATCTTAGAGAAACTGCGGGGGCTTAGATGGTACTTTGTAGTTCATTTGGTTTTTTTTGTTTGTTTGTTTGTTTTTTGCCTTTCTCTCTTTGGGGCTGAAGAGCTGGTGTGTCTGTGTGTGTGTTCCTCTAGAGTGCCAAAAAAGAAAAAAAAAAGTGCTGAAGAGTCCTAGGGAGATGAGGCTATTTTTGTTTGAAGCTGATACTTCTAGCTGAGCCACAAGTGCTGCTTGGAAAGGGCTTAGGTTGTTTCCAGGGGGAGAACTCTGCAGAGGAGAGGCAAAGTTCAACAGGACAACAAAGAAGCAGCAGAAACAGCCAGGAAAACGAAGAGCCCCCAGGTTTTGACACAGAACCCTCCACCAGAGTTCTCAAATCCCCAAATACTCTGCAAAGTGCAACTTGACGGGAACTTTTCAACTGACTTTTACTTTTGACGACCACCATGACTGAGATCACTGCTGAAGGTATTGCTACCATTTTCCGATAGTATCAAGTAAGGAAAAAAAATATGCAAATCGACAGCCACATTAACTGTCGATGTGTCCATTTAAAATGTTGCTTTAAGGTAATTGCCTTGGTCAATGATTCTATACAGGATCTGAGAAGTGGATTTAGGAGCTGAGAGGCTGCCAGATCTGTATATTGGGGGAGCAAAAAGAGATTTCTCTTAAATTTTGCATGTGGAAACTGTTCTCTGCTATACCAAAGGCCCCACTAGTTAACAGTTGTTACTCACACCTCTATAAATAGCTATGGTCATGTAACATGATGGCCGATATCTTATCCAGCAAAAATTACAAAGTTTTCAAGGATGGAGACCATGATGAACTTAAAATATTACACTAATGCTTACTTAAAATATTACACTAATGCTTACTTAAACTTAAAAAGTAATTTGAAGCATTTCTGCTTTATGATATTTTTAAATGGAGACCTTAAATTTGTTTTTCCTTTCCTACTAGGGTATGTAAAACACACATACATATATATGATTTATATACAATTTAAGACATAAGTGTTCCCATAAAATTTGTATTTATTTGACCATTAATGGAAATTCAGAGATAAAGACTGGAATTCCACAAACTTACTGTGAATCAGTATGATTTTTAAAATAAAGCAATTAAGTGTTAGAATTCTGGTTCTTTTTGTAAATTCATTCTTCATTTTCCTCTAAATGGTAAATTCTATCTTTATGTTACAATAAATATTTTCTGTTTCAATGCTTTACTGAAAGCTACATACTATAATACATATCTTCTATTTGATGGTTGCTAGTTATATATATTTATATTTCATATATACTTCATATATATATGTACGTATTTCTTAGAATGAAGGAAACCTTCAAAACTAAATTACTTTGAATACAGACACAGTCTGGTTCTAGTTGAGGTAAAACTTTTGGAGGTGGATCTAAAATTTGCTTCTGACAGCTGTAAGAAAATCAGACAGGTGGTGCTCTTAACAACTTCCAAGTTAAATGCTGTGCTGGTTTGCTTTGAATAATACAACTGAAAAATAGAATATTTGTTTTTATTTTTGAGGGTAGAAATTAGTATGGACACACAGTAATTTCTGTTGGAGATTTTTAGTCAATATTTATAAGAAGTGCCTTATTTGTACCTTGCACTGAGAAATTCAGTCTGACACCTCGTATTAATAACAATTACTGAGAGATTTCTATGTGTTAGGTATTTTGCTCAGAACGTTATGTGTGTTTACTTATTTAAAACTGACACAATTCAATTAAGTAGGCATTATTATCTCAGTTTGGCAGAAAAAGGAACTGTAACTAAAATGTTATGTGACTTGCTCAAGACCAGCATTACCAACATTTAAACCCAGCCCCTTTAAATCTTGTTTGTGTGTGTGTGTGTGTGTGTGTGTGTGTTTTCTTTTCTGTGAGAGGATATCAGGTTTACTCTTTACCAATTTTAGTTCAGAATTTGCTAACTAAATATAAATAGCATTTTTCCTATTCCTTAGATATTCTGTGTCATGTTGCTTTTAGTTTGCCTTAAAGAAAGCTATGTATAAAAACTTCTTGTTTAGCTCTGCACAAGTTATTAAGATAGCTACGAGCGTCTTAATCTTCTGTTTCTCTACCTCTGTTCAGGGTTTGGGCTCCCAGGTGATTCAGGAGGTCAGTTGACTAAACCATCTTGGGCTTGCTTGTGGATTATGTTTTGTAGAACTTGCATTTGATTCAAAAGACTTTTTACAGGAAAATTCTTGATTATGAAATAGAGCTTTTGTTTCTGCCTTTGCTCTGCGGGGGTTTAAAAGGGCCTTGGAAGACCTTCTGGAGTTACCCATAAAAATAATTACATTAGTAATAAAATTAAAAAGTAGAAATACCATCTAATTCTTGGGTGATGGTCATTTTCCACTTCCGGGCCTTAACAGTTCATAGGATCTATGTTATCTGAACATCAATTATGCATTTTTTTTTGTTTTCTGGAATGATTTATTAATAATATTTCTCAAATGAAAATTAGACTGCCAACTCAAATGAACTCATCTTTTAAGGAAGCACAGTCATTCTTTGATGATATCCAAAGTTTTTTCACACTTTGTTACTACACAGTTTCATGTTATCTTTGCAATTCTCACCTTTTGTGCCCTAGCTACAATTGTCTTCCTCCAGTCTTTTATAAAAGGTATACCTTTGTACAGTGCCTTGGTACAGGCTATTTTCTGAGCCTGAAATAGTCTTATTTTATCTCATCTGCTATATTTTTTTCAACCATTTATTTATTTATTTTATTTTTTTTAGAGCAGAATTTTTCTCTGTCACCCATATTGGAATGCAGTGGCATGATCATAGCTCACTGCAGTCTCAAACTCCTGGGTTCCAGCAATCTTTCTACCTCAGCATCAGAAGTAGTTAGGACTACAGGTGTGCACCACCATGCCTGGCTAATTTTTTTTTTATTATTATTTTTGTAAAGACACGACCTCCTTATGTTGACCAGGCTGTACTTAACTACTGGCCTCAAGCCAAGATTCTCTTGCCTCTGCCTCCCAAAACATTGGGAATACAGGCAAGAACCATCACGCCTGGGGCTTGCAATCACTTTTGGACACATTACTGAAATGTAAGCACTCTATCAGTAGACCTATGCCACCTATCAATCAATTACCTTTTCCATCCATTTATCACGCACACACACAAAACAGTTTGTGGCACTTAAGAATATAAGAGATAACTCATTACCTTAGAAAGCTCTAGTTAACTGTTCTCATCTCAAGTTTTGGGAAGACAAGGCTCATACAGATTATATGACTGTCTCATGGTCATGGGAAATTAGGAGAGATCTGAGGATAAATTTCATGCCTCCCATGGCTCATCCCAGTGCTTATTCAACTACAGTGCATGTCGTGCCTATAACCTCACCTAGTTGCTCACATCAATTTCCACTGCAGGTTCCAAGCTGGCTTACTTCATCCAGTGGAAGAAAGGAAATAATGCTAAATACAGAATTGTGTTTCAGGTACAGAGTAATAGATAAATTAGAAATAGGACAAAGTTGAACTCCAAAGGATTTTAGGGTAATAACACCTTTGATTCTGGCAAAATAAATTAATAAAGATAATTATAACAGCAATGATAACATATTTATTCTGAAGACATAAGATGTCAAGCACTGTATTAAGCTTGATAAATATTCATTTAATCTTCAGGGCCACCAAATGAGAATAAAGGCTAATATTATTGCTGTTTAGAGAATAGGAAGCTGAAGTTGAGAGAGTTTAAAGAATGTGCTAGAATTCACACAACTGTATGTGATATAGCTAGGATTCATACCCATGCCTGACCACAGAGTCATATTGGATATGTCTTCTTACTGTGTGAGACTGTTAGGTTGGTCAATTAGGTTGTTATTGGAGCCTACACTAGGACCATGTTACATTTAGGTAGGTTGAATCAGGCCCAGACTGGATTACACTCAAACAGCACACAGGTTTAGGGCTATAAACAGTCCTTTATCTTCCTTGCAATGTAATGTATCCAAGTTGCTGGGAATCCCATATATAATTAACTTAGTATTTACTAGAACGCTTAGTTCAAGAAAGCTTTTTATTTAAAATGTTAGAAGAGCTTATATCCAACTCTCAACTTATAAACTATTACATAACCTCAGGCTTCAGGAGAAGAATTATTGCACTATGTGTGGAATTCTTTCCTTACCATTAGCCGAATCACGTTTCACTGCTTCTGTAACAATCAAACCTATGAGAAGATTTGATATTCAAAATTTAGAGCAAAAATGGTCATTTATATTCTACACACTGCATTACTCCCATAGAGTCTGCAGCACAAGATTACTCACTATTGCTCTCAAGAAAAAAAAAAAATCAAGAATTCACAGCCAGACTACTTAACAACTAGGCAAACAAGTTATATCATCTAGCATGACAGATGGTGAAATTATGAGGCGATCCAACCTATGTTTCTGCATTTACCTCATCAAAGCAAAGGGCAGCTGCCCTGGCTTAAGCGGGGATGAGCTGGGGGTACAAAGGGATGTAGCACTAGTTTCAAGCCCTGGTCACTTCCAGGAGATGTTCTTGATTTTCCTGATAAAGCAACATACCACATATATTATTTTTAGTCTTATAAGTACATTTTAAAACTGACATTAGAAAGCTAGCCTATTCAAAAGAGGAGTACCACGATGGTGAAAGGCACAGTTAAATGAAAAGATTTGTGCATGGTTTGTTTAAGTAGAAGACTGGATTTTTTCATTATGTAGCACTTGAGGGCAATGCACAGACCCATGGATAAAAGTCTGGAAGTCACAAAAAAGGCACACTATTGGCAAAATACAAGGCAAAACCCAACCAACCATTAAAATGATAGCTAGAACTGACTCTTCTGACTAGAAAGAAAGAAAAGAGAAAGCAAGAAAGGAGGGAAGGAAAAGGAAATACACAGCCTCCAATTTTTAAGAAATAGAGGGATGAGGAATATGCCAAAATCTACACCATAGTAGGCAGTAGGCTCTGGGAACCTCTACAGTACAAACAACCCAGTTACTTCAAATAAGTTCCTGGGAACAAGAACAAGAAAATCTGGAGAACAGATGAAAAGAAATGTAAAAAGTTAGCAACCCATCACAATGTATGGAATGGTTGGATCATGATTCAAACAAACAACCTTAAAAAATTCTGATGAAACAAGTGAAAATTTAATATACTCTGGATGTTAGATAACCTTAATGAATAATTATATTTTTAGTGGGATAACCGTATTGTGGTTGTCTTTTAAAATTACTTATTATTTGGAGATACACATTCAAATATTTATGAAGGAGGTGATGTGATATTTGAAATTTGCTTCTAAATAATATGCCCAAGAAGAAAGTAGTTGGGGTGTGGGTGGGGTAGGATTGGCCATTAGTTGATTATGTTGAGGCTGATAATGGGTACATTAAGTTTCATTATAATATTGTCTACTTTTGGGATTATTTAAGCTTCTTCACAATAAAGAGTTAAGAAAAAAAACAGAGTTGATGTTGTTAGTAGAGTAAATCTTTTAATAAGAATTTAATTTTCATAACATATATGGGTCAGTGAATTCTCTGGTCACCAAATTTATTCGTAAGTGCAAATTACTCTCTAAATTGAACAGTGTCTGTTGTTACTGAAATGAAAACCAAATATGCTCATATTAAGCAGAGTAGTCTGGAAATATACTTATGTTTGTAAAAGCAGACAAGGAAGTAATCATTTTTAATATCTATTATAATATGGGAATCTGGAGGTTAGTTTCATATTATTGGTAACATTAATTAGAGACATTAATTAGAAATAGTTTGTTTTTGAGATAGGTCATGGGAAAACCTGAGAACAATTTGAAAGCCTAAGAAGTCAACATGATGCAAGAAAAAATAGTTCTAAAAAGTGCTATGGCTTGGAACATTGCATTTATTGACAGGGTATTAAGTATGAAGCTTTTGTATGACTATCTCTTTGAAATATCACAAAAACTGTGAAAGGCAGGTATCACATAAACCTGATTAGTCTGACTCTGAAACTTCTTGTTATTCTTTACTGCTCAAGTTCACTTTAGGAAAATAGAAAAAAAAAAAAAAGCAGATTGTGAAAACCAGGAGAGTATAGTTCACTGAAAATCAGAGAGAAAATATAGTGCAGAGCTGGGAGAAAGAAGCATTAAGAAAAGAGAGTGTGATAGAGTAGTAAGTGCATGGAGTTTTACTTAAGTCAGAAATTGGGGTTCAGGCACTATCTCCACTACTCAACCACTCTTGGTCTGGGGAGGATGGGGCCTCAAAAGAAGGGTCATGAACTTGGTTAATTAAAAATAATATGGCCAGAGGAATTTTTAAAAATTTTACAAGATCATGCTATTTGGCAAATTAAGTTTATGTTTTTTAAATTGTTCAAATCATCCATGATACAAAATTTGCAGTGACAATGAGCAGAAAATATAGCTGTGTAGTGTCAGCCCTTGTTAGGTTCCGTTAAGAAGCTTTTTCTTGTAGTTTTTATTATTATTTGTAATAGGAACTATTTTTCTCCCCACCCCATAAGCACATAGTATCCATGAAAATGTTCCGTTTATGAGCTTAAATGTTTCTTATTTTTTTTCCTATTTATTTTTGGTTATCATTATGACTGTAATTTAAAATTCATGCTACTTTTACAATGCAAAAATGAATTGAGGCTATTCAGTTATTATACTAAAGGCTTAGGAATCCATAGAGACTTAAGGCCTCCAATACTGTTGGCATTAATTTTTAATCAGTTAACAATATTTAATATGAGAGAAACATAAAACAGTGCAACTAAGCAATTTTAAAATCATCTACATTGACCTTTGTGTTGAATATATCAATTTGAAAAGAAAATGGTTAAGATTTTCCAGTAAAGCTTTTGGTTTTATAGTTATGCTTAGTTGGAGCTTAAAGATAGTATTAAAACATTATTCTTTTCTTCTTTCAAACAAAAAGAAACCCGTTGGGGACATGTTTAATGTATTTTTAAAAAATACATATTATCTAATGTAACATATTTAAAAAGAACAAAGCAGGGGAAAAATCTTCATCTGGCAACTATGCATTAACATCATACAATAATGTCGACTTTACGGAGTTCAGGCTCCATTTTACTTAAAGTTCTAGGAAGATTTGTCAAGGTTAAGTTTTTGCTGTCTCCAGTTCCCACCTGCCCTGGATAATACGAATGACAGGCTTGGTTTTTTACAGAGAATACTTATTTGATTGTCATGTAAATATATATTACCCCTAGTGAGGGTTATGCAGAGACAGATGAACTTCCTGGTCCAAACAGATAGTAATTTTTATCTTCAAAGGAAACCAAAAAGAGTATCCTTGGCAAATGTGCAATGAATAAAGTCTTGCTCTGCTCTATACAAGTTAATGCTCTCTAAACATCAAACATCTCCACATCTCCATGCCTGAAGTGAAGCTGTCAAAGACACACAGAATTTACAATTGTGAGAGATTCTTTGGTATGTAAATGAGCTGTTTCCTCATAAACTGCAGACTCTATCTCACTTACAATGTACTTTAAATATTACATTTAAATATATGTGGTTTAGATATTTTCTAATTTGTTATCTGTGCCAGAAGCTAGGGCATGTGGTTTTCACCCAAACAAGTTAAAGACATGATATTTTGACCTATAAGAACAAAGATAATTTAAATGGAGCAACCTGTTCTTTATAGGGGAAACTTGGTTTCATTTAGACAGCATGAAGCTGGAACTCATTGTGACAAACCAGTTTTATCTTTGCTACGCATTTGCTGCATCATTCTCCCCTCCCTGACACAGGTTACTGAAGTGTTGAGAAAAACAAAAGAAGGAAAAACTCTTAGTATTTCAAACTTAGTTTTAATATGGTCTAGGGCATTAGTGAGCTCGTGGATGTGAGAGATTCAGTTTCCATTTATACAGACGTTCAAAATACATATTTAGCAAACTTTCCTTGGAAAATTGTCTGTTGCCTTTGAAAATAAAATTATCATGTGATTAGGGGAATTTTCTGTTTGAGGAAGACATTTAATATAATGTCAAGACAAAAATAAGAGATATGAAGTGGCACTTCTCTGACATTCACTGCTGGAGCTATTATTTTTGCCCATGGTTATTCTGATTTAACCTATATATTATTGACTAGGGGAAAAAGCGTACTGTAAAATCTGAAAGTTACTACAGTATAGTAAAATGCCAAGTTTGTGAATTTAAATCTGCAGAAATATTAGGCATTGCATTTAGAAAAAGGCAAGTTACCTCCATCTGAAATATAACAAAATTTTAGATTCTATGGTATTAATTATCATCCTAGATGTAGATTTATGAAGCAGTATGTCATGCCAGAGGTTTGGTTTTATTCAATATTTTAATACCTATTACGTACCAAATTGAATGCCTGACAATGTGGACACAAAAATGAATGATAAAAGGTCCCTGCTACATTGCAAAACAAAAAGAAAAGAGCAAAAAATAACAGTGAGAATAAAGACTGGACAGATTATAAAACATTTGATTCCAATTTGAATTGCAGCCATGTCTCTTTTTATTGCACTTTGCTTTATTGCATGCCACAGATATTGCATTTTTCAAAGAAAATGAATAAAGCTATCACCACCATTTTTCCAACAGCATGCGTTCATTTCCTGTCTCTGTGTCACATTTTGGTAATTCTCACAGTATTTCAAATGTTTTCGTTATTGGTATGTCTGTTTCGGTGATCTGTGACCATTGTTCTTTGATATCAATATTGTAATTGTTTTAGGTCACCACAAGCTGCCCCTATATAAGATGGTGAATTTCATCAATAAATATGTGTGTTCTGACTGCTCCAACAACTAGACATTCCCACTATCTCTCCTTCTCCTCAGGCTTTTCTGTTCCCCGAGACACAACAATATTGAGATTAGGAAAATTAATAACCTACAACAGCCTCTAAGAATTCAAGTGAAAGGAAGAGTTGCATATCTTTACTTTCAATCAAAAGCTGAAAATAATTAAGCTTACTGAGGAAGGCATGCCAAAAGCCAAGATAGGCTGAAAGCTAGGCCTCTTGCACCAAACAGCCAAGTTGTGAATGCAAAGGAAAAGTTCTTGAAGGAAATTAAAAGTGCTACTGAACACATGAATGATAAGAAAGTGAAACAAACTTATTGCTGATGTGGAGAAAGTTTTAGTGGTCTGGATAGAAGATCCAACCAGCCAGAATTCTCTTTCAGCCAAAGCCTAATCCAGACCAAGGCCCTAAATCTCTTCAATTCTGTGAAGATGTGGAGAGGTAAGGAAGCTGCAGAAGAAAAGTTGGAAGCTAGCAGAGGTTGGTTCATGAGGTTTAAGAAAAGAAGCCATCTCCACAACATAAAAGTGCAAGGTGGAAGCAGCAAGGATTGATGTAGAAGCTGCAGCAAGTTATCCAGAAGATCTAGCTAAGATCATTGATGAAGGTGGCTACGCTAAACAACACATTTTCAATGTAGACTAAACAGTCCTCTATTAGAAGAAGATGCCATCCAGGACTTTCAGAGCTAGATAGGAGAAGTCAATGCCTGGCTCCAAAGCTTCAAAGTTTAGGCTGACTCTTGTTAGGGAATAATGCAGCTGGTGACTTCAAGTTGAAGCCAATGCTGGTTTACCATTATGACAATTCCAGGGCTCTAAAGAATTACAATAAATTTACTTTGCCTGTGCTCTATCAATGAGATAATAAAGCCTGCATGACAGCACATCTGTTTACAACATAGTTTACTGAATATTTTAAGCCCACTGTTGAGATTTACTACTCAAAAAAAAAATTCTTCCAAAGTATTTCTGCTTATTGACAATGCACCTGGTCACCCAAGAGCTCTGATGGTGATATACAAAAAGATTAATGTTGTTTTCGTGCCTAACAGAAGATCATTTTTGCAGCTCATGGCTCAAGAAGTAATTTTGATTTTCAAGACATTTTTTAAGAAATACATTTTGTGGGCCAGGCTCGGTGGCTCATGCCTATAATCCCAGCAATTTGGAGGCCAAGGTGGGTGGATCACCTGAGGTCAGGAGTTCAAGACCAGCCTGGCCAATGTGGTGAAACCCTGCCTGTACTAAAAATACAAAAAATCAGCTGGGCGTGGTGGCAGGCACCTGTAATCCCAGTTACTTGGGAGGCTGAGGCAGGAGAATTACTTGAACCCGGGTGGTGGAGGCTGCAGTGAGCCGAGATCGTGCCACTGCACTCCAGCCTGGGGAACAAGAGCAAAACTCTGTCTCAAAAAATAAAATAAAATAAAATAAAATAAAATAATAAAAAATTAAAAAAAACATTTTATAAGGCTATAGGTGACATAGGGAGAAATACCTCTTATGGATCCAAGCAAACTATATTGACAACTTTCTCAAGAATTCACCATTCTAGATGCCATTAAAAAATATAATTTTTACATTACAAATTTTTTTATTTTTATTGTTATTATTATACTTTAAGTTCTAGGGTACATGGGGAATTGAACAATAAAAAATATTTTTGATTCATGGCAGGAGGTCAAAATATCACCATTATGTAAAAAGTTGATTCCAACCCTCATGATGACTTTGAGGGGCTCAAGACATCAGTGGAGGAAGCAACTGCAGATGCAGTGGAAACAGCAAGAGATCTAGAATTAGAAGTGGAAGCTGAAGATGCTGTAATCTCATGATTAAACTTGAATGGATGAAGAGTGACTTTTTTGTTGTTGTTTTTTTTTCTTTTGAGCCAGTGTCTAGTTCGGCATGCACTGGCACAGTCTTGGCTCACTGCAACCTCTGCCTCCTGGGTTCAAGTGATTCTCGTGCCTCACCCACTGAGTAGTGGGATTATAGGTGTGCATCACACTGCCAGGCTAATTTTTGTATGTTTTTGTAGAGACGGGGTTTCACCATGTTGGCCAAGGTGGTCTTGAACTCCTGGTCTCAAGGGATCCACCCACCTTGGCCTCCCAACGTGCTGGGATTACAGGCATGAGCCACCATGCCTGGCCTAGGAGGTGCTTTCTATGAATGAGCAAAGAGAGTGGTTTCTTGAGATGGAAGCTACTCTACTCTTAATGGAGATGCTGTGAACTTTGTTGAAATGACTACAAAGGATTTAGAATATAACATAGAGTAGAAGATAAAGCAATGGCTGGGTTTAAGAGGATTAACTCTGATTTCAAAAGAAATTCTCCTATGGGTAAAATCCTATCAAACAGTGAATGTCACATACTACAGAGACATCTTTCATGAAATGTGGAGTCCATCGATGTGGCCAACTTCACTCTTGTCTTATTTTAAGTAATTGCTTCAGCCACTCCAACCTTTAGCAACCATCACCCTGATCAGTCAGCAGCCATAAATATTAAGGCAAGACCTTCAATTAGCAAAAAGATTATGACTCACTGAAGGCTCACATGATTGTTAGTATTTTTTAGCAATAAAGTATTTTTTATTTTCAATCTTGTTGGCTCAGAGTAGGTGTATATATTTATGGGATGCATGAAATATTTTTATACAGGCATACAATGAGTAATAATCACATCAGGATAAGCGGGGTATCCATGACCTCAAGCATTTATCCTTTCTTTGTGTTAGAAACAGTCCAGTTATACTCTTTTAGTTATTTTTAAATGTACAATGAATTACTGTTGACTGTAGTCACTATTGTGCTATCAAATGCTAGATATTATTCTTTCTAACTATATTTCTGTACCCATTAACCATCCCCACCAACAAAGTATTTTTAAATTAAGGTCTTACACTGCTTTTTAAGACATAATGTTATTGCACATTTAATAGACTAGAATACAGTGCAGACATAACTTTTATATACACTAGGATACAGAAAAAAAAATGTGTGATTTGCTTTCTTGCAATTATTTGCTTTATTGCATGGTATCTCCAAGGTGTGCCTTATGGTGTTTGATGTAAAGAATGTCATATTATTGTTCATAAATCTTATGATTATTTCACTTTGAAACTTGCTGAAAATAATTTAGTATAACTAAAGAATGTCCTATTCTTAACACTGGTAATTCGCAGTGCACATGACATTATTGTGAAGGTGTAATGATTTTTCAAGGAGTAAGGAGATCAAGAGTACATTTGATCAATGCAGAAATGACAAAAAAAAAAAAAAGAGACAGGAAGTAGGTGAGAATTAGTAGTCTGTGGGATGTAGCCCTGGGATGACTGGGATACCAACTTACCTTGCCAAGAAATTGGGTAAAATTCCTGATTTAAATACTAAATTTTCGGTCAGGCACACTGTTGCTATAATACTATAAAAGCTGGATGTTTCATGTTTCTGATTCGTTTTTAACAGTTATTATGTTTCCTAGTTCCCTGTCATCCCATCTGAGTGTTCTCCCATTATTTGAACCTCTATTGCTGATTTCCATCCCCACATACGCTACTTTGAGCTTACTTTGTATGTATAGAGACCATTTCCAGTTCATGAAGAAATAAAAAAAAATACCAACTGTCAGAAAGGTAATCATTAAACGAGTTTCTTCTGGCTTACAAAGAAGAATCAGTTGCTACAGTAAAACCAAATCTGTTGGCAGAGTTGTTCTAAATACTATGAGAACTAGTGGTCAGGCCAGTGGTCTTGTCAAGAGTTGCTGTAAAAGCATGACAGGGTCCATAGACCAAGCCTCTGAAAATGTGAGCAGAAAGTACTTAGGGTAGCAGTAATGACTAGATTAAGGCAATAAGTCAGCAGAATTCTCTAGGGCCTTTGTTCATAGTGACTGAGAGTTATATTAGAAATAATAGTTCTGACAGTTTCCGGAAAATTTTGGCTACCTCTTGAATTAAGTAGACCAGATTTCACTGCTCAGTTTCTGCCCAGTCCCTCAGGATTTGAAGTGTCTTGTTGGTCTGGCTAGAATGATGTGCTATACTATCGTGGTATGGGTCTCTGTTTTTGAGGGACGTGAGCTCTCAATACCCAGGTGCTTTGAGACATAGTATTTTATCTTCTTCCTATCACTCTGTCATTTACCTGTGGATGGAGAGGAATGAAAAGTCTGACCCCCTGAGTGATAAGCATGCACCTAACAAACATCACTTGTATATATTTTTGGTATCTACTTTTGCCAGGTACTGTTTTAATTCTAAGGATGAAATGTAAAATATACAGAAATCTAGTCCTCAAGAAATGATGAGATAATTGTATATGTAACTCTCTGACACTGGGCTGCCAGTTCAAAGTTTCTTGAAAGAAGTATGTATAAAGTTATATACAAAAATTGTGAGATAGGTTTCTTGGTTTCTTGTCAAATTTAAAATAGACAATGTTTACATGTATAAAGCTATTAGGGAATGAATCAATATAAAACAAATAAGCAAATCAACTGATGAGATATTAATATTGGGAAAATCTAAGAAGCTAGGAGAATGGATGGATTTGGTTGGTCAGGGACTGACATAAAGGAGGAGAACTTATGTTAACATTTGAAGAATGTTTCTAAATTAAAGGACAGGAACACAGAAGAAAGAGCAAAGAATTAAGTTTTTAACAACATCCCTAGATCCTAAAAATTCCAGGTTAATTCATTTTAGAAACAAGTATTTGATTTCTTAAACTAAATTAATAAATATGGTGATCTTGGGTTCAGTGAACCAAGCTGAAGGAGACACACTTTATTGGCATTCAGGGTGGAAAAATTTGTTGCAACGATCTTCCCTAAAGATTGCAAAATAATTAGTACCCAGTAGCACCTCTCACCATAATTTTGACTCCATAAACACCCCCAAAATTTTCCTATCAGAGATGATAAACTACACCACAGTTAACAAGAACATAAAGATGAGTATAGATGCTAGTGGTAGCTTCAAAGGAGATGGGATTGAAATCCTCAACTATGAGAAACTCTAAGCTTAGTTATCTTTCAATTTTATATATAAGATTCTTTTTATGTCAATAGAGGGGATTTGGATTGGTGAGAAGGTCATTTTGCTTCTCCAATCAGTTATTTGTTTGCCTCAATTTGCTACTTATAATTCTATAATAGAAAGGGAAAAAAAAAGACAATAACCTCAGGGAAATACAGGGCAAAAAGATTCACAAACTAAATGGAATGACATACTTCCCTCTTGAGAAAAATCAGTGAAAGGTGATGACTTATTTTCTGTGTCCTTGAGCTAACTAATGAGTTGCAAAGTGACAGCATAATTTGAGGAGAGGCACAGGTGGAAGCAGTTCTGATGGGTAAAGTGAAAGAGAGTGCTTTGCAAAATTGCCCGATAGAGTTTTACACAAGCTAAATAGCAAACCTCAAGGTGGATTACATTTCTTTTACTTGAGAGTCACCCAATATTTTGTCATAGTGAACTCTACATGTGCTTAGAGTACCTCCAGTGTTTCTTTAATCCTTTGCAATACTATCATGATGACAAATGTATTTTCAAATCATATAAAAACTTGCTTAAAATTAAGTTGTTAGGTAATACTGAGCTAGAGGCCAAAATGCGCAAGAACTCTATATACAAGTGTAAAAAGAATTAGGACACTGTGGTGATTACTGAATAATGCTGTCCCGCTTAGTTTTCAAGAGAACAGCCGTCTCCTCAGTTCAGTGTTTAAAAACATACTATGAGTCATCATAATTTTTAAAATATTTTTCTTAAAAATTCATTTTAGTAAAATACAGACTCTGAAAGTTTCATAACTCACATATGCGGTTGACTCTTGAACAACACAAGGGTAAGGACACCGACTTACCAGTCGAAAATTCACATATAACTTTGACTCCTCCCAAAACTTTATTAATAGCCTACTGTTGACCAGAGGCTTTACCAAAAACATTGTTGATTAACACATATTTTGTATGTTATATGTGTGTGCGTGTGCCTGTGTGTGTGTGTGTGTGTGTGTGTGTGTCTGTATATATATATAGAGAGAGAGAGATAATTACAATGAAGTAAGCTAGGGAAAGGAAAATGTTTTTTAAGAAAATCATAAAGAAGATAAAATATATTTAGTATCCATTTAGTGGAACTGGATCATCATAAAGACCTTCAATTTCATCATCTTCACATTGAGTAGACTGAGGAGGAGGAAAAAGAGGAAGGATTGGTTTGCTGTCCCAGTGGTGGCAGAAGCAGAAGAGGTTAAGGAGTTGGAAGGGGAGGCCAGAGAGCCAGGCATATGCACTATAACTTTCATTTAAAAAGATTCTCACGTAAGTGGAACTACACAGTTAAAACCCATGTTGTTCAAGAGTCAACTGTCTTTATATATCATTTACTAAGGAGTAATGGAGTTGATATCCACATAACCAACACCCAGATCAGGGAACTATTTCCAGCACATGGGAAGCCCATATTCATCTATCCATACTTTGACTCTCACTTTGGTGTCGCTTCCCAATTAAGGCTCCTCTTTCTTTGAACTTTCCTCTCCAGGGAACCAGCTTTTTTGGTAATGGTTTTCTTTCTTTGCTTTATAGTTTTATGACCTCAACATCGATAAACAACATAGTTATGCTAAGTTTGTTCTTTATATAAATGGAGCACCATGGCATGTATTGTTCTGTGTTTTGCTGCATTAATTCCTCATTTTGTTTATAAGAGTCATCTATGTTGTTGTATGTAGCTAGAGTTTGTTATTTTTCTTTCTGTACAGTGTTTCATTGCATAAAAGTCACTGTTTATCCAATAGATTTTTGTTTCAATTGGGGGAGGCTATGATGAATGATATTTTTATGTTCTTTTTTTAGTTTTAATATCTATTATTCTATTATCAATGTATGTTTATTTCATGGCACTATGTTCTATGGTGAAAAGTTGAATTCAGCATGAAGAAGACACCTTGCTCACTCAAACTGGATTGTTTAAATCTAATTGGAAAATGTGGAGAAAGGGTGACCTTGTGGGTGTCTCCTAGAAACGTCCTGTTTTTTAGAAGAAATTGATCTAGTCTCACAAGATATATAAAATGGATGTTTGGAGGAGCAGAGAGAAAATGAATAGAATCCTAAGGACTTCTCAGAGTTTTGTCTCTGAGATAGTAATCCTCACCGTATAGCAACCCCTTTTTGAGACTGTATGGGCAGCAATGTAAAAATTGACATGTAGAGTGAGGCATTCAACTAATATTGATTGAATGTCATGTCCTCATTGCCAAGCATTTTACTTGGAGCTGGACCAATAGCAGTGGACAAAAAAGGTCCCTATTTTCCTGCTTCTGTCAGAACACTCCATGACTAGAATCTCCATTGTCACTAGGTTCTGCACCTTGCTGTCCTGGGCACTGGTGAGAGCAACTGAGTTTTTGCTTGTTGAGGCTCCTCCTTCTAGGATCCTTGGTACACTTTTATCCAATGGACATCATCTTTAATTTGACTTGCTGGCTTTATTAGAATATTGCTATTGTTAACATTCAGGCAAAACTTAGGTTTCCACTTCTATTCTTCCTGCTTTTAGATGAAGATTGCCCATCTTTAAAAGGTGACAACTTCAGGCAGTTAATTTTGTCCACTTTAGTTTAGTTTGCTAGCTTAAGCTCTCAGAAATTATTCAATATTCAATTTAACGGAAGGAGGTTTTACTGAGGTGGAAAGCCTAACTCTGCCTCAGTGTGTGAGAAAAGAAGGATTAAAAGATAATCTATCTCCATTTATCTATATTGTATTACCTCCAAAAACGAAAAAAAAATTCTATTTGTAAAACTCTGTGAAGAGCATGGGTATACTAGGCATTCTTTCCTGTTTTTTGATTTGGGTCAAAATGTATGAATGCATGTGAGCTATATGGACATAACAACTTTGAGAAAATTCCGAATAAGTTTTATTCTCCCAGATCAGAGTTTGTCAGTGTGTAGTCCCCAGACCAGCAGTGTCAACATCACCTGGGCACTTATTGGAAAGGGACATTACTGGGATACATCTCAGACTTTTGGGATCATAAACTGTAAGAGGAGAGTATGGCCTAGTGATCTGTGTTCTAACAAACCTTTTAGATCATTCTGACACACGTTGAAGTTTTAAAGCCGCAACCCTAGTTAACTACATATAGACTTTAAAAACAAATTCCCTACTAATTCCAATTAATTAGGGATAAAGATCCAAATCAATCATGTAGTATAGTGGCTTAAAACTCACAATAACAGAGGATTCTTTTCATGATAAATTTGTGATCATGCACAAGAAGATTCTTTTCATGGGCAATGGAAATCTGAAGAATGGAGATGGAGGAAAAGAAATCAAAGAGAGAAACTATTTGCCTGGAAGAGAGCAAAAGTGTGTGGAGGTCAAGAGCCCAACATGTGCACACTGAAACTCATGAAATTTTCCCCATAATCAGCTATTTCTCTGGACCTGCAGGGTTCTGTTTTTTTATCTGTATGCACAGTCTCTAAACTTTGGAGTCCTCATTTCTTGTATTCACCTTTTCCTTTTTCTTCTCATTTAAACTTCAGTTATTTTTTAAATTAGAACTCCTGTTCTAATTTAAACTCCTGTTATTTCATATATGGATGTCTGTATGTGACAGATTGTATTTTTCAAAAGTGGCTGCAGCAAGATTTCCCATCTCATGTGTTCTTCTTATACTGTGATCTTGACTCTTCTTCTCTTGAGAGGTGAGGTCTACTTTTCCTCCCGTTAAACACAAACAGACTTGTATAACAGCTTCAACAAAGAACATACAGTGAAAATGACTTCCAAGGTTAGATCATAAAAATACCAGACATATCCAGGTTGCTGGTTTGGGATACCTGCTTTTGAAACTATGCTGTGAAAAAATTAAAGCAGCCTGGAGGCAGGCCCATAATGAAAGAGACCAAGACCTTGACCTGCAAACCCAGCCAAGCTTCCAGCCAACAGCCAGCACCAACTTTCCAGCAATGTGAATGAGTCATCTTGATAATGGATCCTCTAGTCCCCAGTAGAGCCACCACATGTGACAACTGTGGAGCAGAGGCAGGCCATACCTGCTGAACTCTAACCAAATTACAAATTTCTGGGCAAAATAAATGATTACAGTTGTTTTAGGCCACTAAACTTTGGAATCTTTTATTATGCAGCTACAGATAATACATTATATTAGCATTTTTGTAATCTCCTCACTTCTAATGTATCTTGCAATCTTGCACACTAAGTTCATAATACTACATTACCCAATGAATAATGGTAACTTATTTAGTGTACAGTTGTTTCAGCCAAATTCAACATGACGCTAGGCAATTTTATAATTGTTATACTTCTTCAGTTTCATCATTGATTTATTTACACATTTATTCCTTTAGTAAAATATATTTAATAAATGTTGATTATTATAATAAAATGTTTGAGTTACTGGAGAGAAATTCATAAAAAAGAACAAGGAAGAAGAGGAGGAGAGAGGGGAGAAGAAGGAAGAGGATGAGAAAGAGGAGGAGGAGAGAAAAAAGCAGATTCTCAACTAAGGTTGTCACACAACTTGACAATTTTGCAAATGTGAATGGGCATTTTTTAAATTAGAATGCCCAAAAGATACACGGTTGTGAGCCATGGATTTTGAGCAATACTTAATTTCACTGAGCAGGCCTAAACAAACTGTGCATAAGAGAGTGCTCACACAATGTCTACTGATGAAGAGTAGTGAGAATATTGGTTGTGGTATACAGAATAATTGTCCCCCAAAATATTCATGTCCTAATCCCCAGAATCTGTAAATATGTTACCTTACCTGGAAAAGAGAATTTGCAGATGTGGTTTTATTAAGAACCTCGAGCGGGAGAGAGGACCCTGAATTATCTGGGTGGGCCCAATAAAATCACGGAAGTCCTCAAAATTGGAGAACTTTTTCTGTTGGTGGCCAGCGGGAGATGCAATCAGCCAGCACTGGCTTTGAAGATAGAGGAAGAAGCTATGAGCCAAGTTATGTGGCAACCTGTAGAAGGTAGAAAGTACAAGGAGATGGATTCTCTCTAGAGGCCCCAGAAAGGAATGTAGCCCTGAAGACACTTTGATTTTAGCTCCTTGAGACCCATGTTGGACTTCCAAGTACAGAATTGTAAGATAAATTTGTGTTAAATTTGTGGTACTATGTTATGGTGCAGTAGAAAACTAATATACCAGTGTGTATCTGATTACTATAACTCTCTCTTACTCACTGGAAGACAAATTTTTAGAGGGCTCATATAAAATTAGCATAGGAGAATGGCAAATTTATTTTTCCTGGGCCCAGTGCAGTGGCTCATTCTTGTAATCACAGCACTTTGGGAGGCCGAGATGGGCGGATCACCTGAGGTCAGGAGTTTGAGACCAGCCTGGCCAACATGGCGAAACCCATCTCTACTAAAAATACAAAAATTAGCCGGGTGTGTTGGCGGGCACCTGTCATCCCAGCTACTTGGAGGCTGAGGCAGGAGAATCACTAGGACCCGGGAGACAGAGGTTGCAGTGAACCAACATCGCACCACTTCACTCCAGCCTGGGTGACAAGAGCAAAACTCCGTCTCAAAAAACAAACAAACAAATTTATTTTTCATGAAATATTTTTACATAAATCTTTTTAAAAATAAATAGTCTCCCTTTTATATTAGCAATCTGAAACTAAAAAGGAGTTCCTTTATCAAGGTCACAGAGCTCATGATTGTGACAACTAATGATACATTGACGAACAAGATTATTCTTTCTGTAGCAATGACTTTCAAGCCAAGAAATGAAGTTATCTAGCAAGTAACATTTTCCAGCTAATAATCAGCAAAATTAGAGAGGCACTTTATTTTTTTTTCCACTAATATATATTTGAAAACCTTAGGAGAGAGACTGTAGCTTGTGCAATATTTATTTCTTCTTAATATTGCTACATTGAACCTGCTTCCATTCAACTCAACAGGCATTTCTGAAATACAAACTGTGACTTGTTCTATAATCAATGGTGTTTGTATATATATTCAGCCACCTACATGCAATATATAATACATATTATCTGCATTTTAAACTGAACTTTTAAAAACGACCCCTCTGGTTCTTCGACCAGGACACCTTGCCCTACTTTGGAATGGGTATCCTTCACGTTCCTGGGCTGGCACACATCAGGAAGCTATGTACATTTTCAGCTGGATAAGAGCCTATTAATAGAAAGCTGACACTGCTGTGGTTAAAAAAAATCAGGTCAGAGATTAATTTCATGAAACCCATAGTCATGTCAGCTAAATATGATCTGTTTGAGGTAGGTGAAGGATGTGTGATCACTCTGTTGTTCAAACTCAAATAAATATGTCTTTCTTTTATATTTGCACCATGAAATATTTTTTCATTTGTCTAGGAATTCTAATCCTTGCATAAAATCATGCAGATTTTAAACTTCTGAAACAATCTTTGTGCTTAAACATCTTCCAAATAAGACTACTTAGAGAAAAAAAAATGGGGATCAGAATGTGGGATACAAGAAGATATGACAAGGTGATTAACTGAATTTGTTGTAAAAATAAAAGTTAGAAATAGAAATTTGGAATAAGCATAAAGTTAGGTTTGCAGGAAAGCAAGTTGTATCAGTTTGACCTGGAAATACTGGATGTTATTTAAAGGGCAGAATGTAGACATACCTTTGATGAGGAGTATTAAAAGAAAATATTCAGGAAGGAAAACAACAATAACAACAGAGCAAAATTGTAAGTGGTAAGAAATCATACATACATGTTTATACAGCATTTACACAGTATAAATGCATATGAATAAATATGAAGTATACATATATTTGATTTGTGATGTACAGAATAAAATGTAAAATTAAAGATTTTAATAAATATTGAGTTCCTACAACATATCAGACACTGCATGAAGCACTAAAAGAAAACATTTGATTTTTTTTTTTTTGCAAACCTGCTTTATAAATAATGTAAAGTATAACGTATATTATGGATATAATTTTCGTTTTTGAGATGGGGCCTCACTCTGTTATCCAGGCTGGAGTCCAGTGGCATGATCATAGCTCACTGCATCTCAAACTCCTGGGCTCAAGGGATCCTTCCAAGTCGCTGCAAGCACAGGCACATGCCACGACACCCAGCTAATTTTTTTTGTAGAGACAGGATCTTACTGTGTTGCCAAGGCTGGTCTCAAATTCCTAGCCTCAAGTGATCCTCCTGCCTCGGCATACCAAAGTGCTAGGATTATAGGCTTCAGCCACTGCCCCCAGCCTAATTTTTATAGGTCTTTTTTGCTTTATTATATATTTTTAACTGACACATATATATGAGTTACATGTGATATTTCCACACTTACATACAATGTATAATGATCAAATCAGGGTAATTAGCATGTTCATCACATCAAATATTTATCATTTCTTTTTGTTGGGAATATTCAAAATCCATTATTCTAGCTATTAAAAATATGCAAAAAATTGTTGTTAATTATAGTCACTTTACAATGCTGTAGGACAGTAGAACTTATTCCTCCTATCTAGCTGGAGTTTTATATCCATTAACCAACCTTTGGCTATCCTCACATCCCCACACTTTCTAGCCTCTAGTAACCACTATTCTACTCTCTACGTCTATGAGATCAACTTTTATAGCTTCCACATATGAGTGAGAACAAATAATATTTGTCTTTTTGTGTCTAGCCTATCTCACTTGACATAGCTCATCCACGTTGCTGTGAATGACAGGATTTCATTCTTTTTTAGGGACAAATAATATTCCATTGTGTGTGTGTGTGTGTGTGTGTATATACATGTTTTTCAAACGTGAATGGGCATTATATATATACACACACACACATACACACACACATTCCATTATTCATATATACACACACAGACGCATACACCACATTTGCTTTCTTCATTCATCTGTGGATGGATACTTAGGTTGATTACATATCTTGGTTATCATGAATAGTGCCACACTAAACCTGGGAGTGCAGTTATCTCTTCAACATACTGATTTCAATTCGTTTGGATATATACCAAGTAGTAGGATTCCTGGATCAATGGTAGTTATATTTTCAGTTTTTTGAGGAAGCCCCATACTATTTTTCATAATGGCTGCACTAATTTACATTCCCACCAACAGTGTGTGAGAGTTCCCTTCTCCATGTCCTTGCCATTATTTATTATCTTTTGTCTTTTTGATAATAGACATTCTAACTGGAGTGAGATATCTCATTATGGTGTTCATTTACATTTCACTGATGATTCGTGGTGTTGAGTATTTTTTTCATACACCTGTTGGCCATTTGTATGTATCTTTTGAGCGATGTCTATTCAGTTCATTTGCCAGGTTTTTAATCACACTATTTGTTTATTATTTGTTTTTGCTATTGTTTGAGTTTCTTGTATATTCTGGACATTAATATCTTATAAAACAAATAGTTTGCAAATCTTTTATTCTTTTCTGTTGGTTATTTCTTTACTATGTTGATTGTTTCCTTTGCTGTGCAGAATCTTTTTAGTTTGATATAATCCCATTTGTCTATTTTTGCTTTTGTTTCCTGTGCTTTTGTGGTCTTTTCCATAAAATGTTTTCCCAGACCATTGCCTTAAAGGAATTCCCCTAAATTTTCCTGTAGTTTCATGGTTTCAGGCCTTACATTTAAGTCTTTAATCCATTTTGAGTTAATTTTTGCATAAATTTTAATTTAAAATTAAACTTTAATTTAAAATAAATTTAGATTAAAATTTTAAATACACTTACGTTTTTCAAAAATATTTGACCATTCTGCAGTTATAATATTGATATAAATATCTTCAATAAGTGTAATTAAAAATAATTTTCTAAAATTGTATTTTTATATATAATAGTGTAATAGTATAACAGTAGCTTAAAGTCAGTAGCTAGTTTTAATATTTCTATTCTAGAATAACATTGCAAGTATGTTTTATTTTCTAAATTTACATTTTGTATATCTTTGAATTCATATTAAAATGGTCAATTTGAGGGTTTTTTTTGTTTTTTTTTTTTTTGTTTTTTTTTTTAATGAAGCACTTTCCCACGGTAACATTCTTATGTTAATCATATGGTGGGGAGTTTAAAGCAGGAAGTGATTTATACATACCTACAGCCATGCCTCCCAAACCTTAACATGTATATGAATCACTTGAGGATCTTGTCAAAAGGCAGGTTCTGATTTAGTAGTTCTGGGATGGAGCCTGAGAACCTGCATTCCTAACAAGCCCCCCAGGTACTGAGGAGGTGCTGGTCTTAGAGCACAGTTTGAGTAGCAATATCCTAGAGCATCTTAAAGGGTGACTAGAAAATAACTCTGCTTTAGCTTCCAGTCTCTAGGTTTCAACTGAAATGAATAAACCAATGGATATCCTGTGAGAAAGGACCAGAGGAAGAAGATTTTCTTTTATCATTTATCTTTTATGTGACTTTTGAAAGAATGTATATGAGCCTTTTTAAGAAGGAAAGTTCACAATACTGGTTATTTGTGTGCCATCCAACTCATATTCATTGTTATGTGGCATCAAATAGTTTCAATCCTGCCAAATCTAAAAACAATTTTTTCACCTTTCAATGATACTTTTATGATGGCTTTGGAAGGCTTAGATGTTTTAAATGGATATTAATTGTAAGACATTTTATTTTGATGCTTTTTAACACAAATATTATCAATTACTATCAATTTATATTTACTGAATATCATCTGGTGTCTTGTATTAGGTTTGACACTTCTGAACACATTTCTCTCTACAAGGCACTGCAAGCTGTCTCCATGCTTAATTTAAAAAAAAAGTTTCAACTAAGCTCTGAATAATTGAGTTCATTGAGCAGAATAAAATAGTGGATTAATTAATAGTGTTACCTTTAATGGATTAGTGTTGAAAAATATGCTCATCTCTCTTTCTGTTAAGAGTGATAAATTTTTAATTCCTTGTAATAATTAGGAAACATAAAACGTGCAAATATATGCTGAAATGTATTTATTCATTAAACTGATACCAAATCATTACGTTTATTTTAATTGAAATTGGAAATGTTTCCCAGTTTTAATGTAAGTTGGGATTTTGCTCATGGAAAGTTTGGCATTAGCTGACCATTCCCAAATCATGAGTCTGTTTTCTAGGATACTGTTGGCACACAATATGAGCCTCAGATTTGTTCAATGCATAAAATTTCCCAATGCTTTGGTAAGTGAAGGATGATGCAGTCGTCCTTTGTACTTATTTTAGGTCATTAACCAAATGTACTACTTTTCCTTGTTATTTGATACATCTAATTTTATGCTGTATTCAGTTATTGATTTTATTTCTATGATGAGAAAGAAATGTCATGATGATAAGTAGGTGGAATTATAGAAAAATAGAGTTGGAATGAATTGAAGACCACCTCAAGCAGTTTCATATAAGACACAAGTGTTATTCATGTTAAAAAATTATGTGCCTGGAGACTACTTCTAGTCTGTCTACTGTCCCTAGGCAGGAATATGCTTAAACTGTGAGAAAGTCAAAGAAAATTAATATCTACCCTATAGTTAAATATTTCCACGCACTGGTACTCAATATTTTCCTTAGAAAACTACTTGTGCCTAACCATACTTATGTCAAGATGTCTTCATCTTGACGCACAGTGGTGCGTGCCTGTAGTCCCAGCTATTTGGGAGCCTGACGTGGAAGGATCCCTTGAGGCCAGGAGTTCAAAGCTGTGATACATGATGATCAGGCATGTGAACAGCCACTGCACTTAAAAGATGTCCTCTCCTAAATCTCTCCTGTTAAGATTTAACACAAGTGATTCTCCTTACTCAGCCTCCCGAGTAGCTGGGATTACAGGCGCCCGCCACCACCATGCCCAGATAATTTTTTTTTTTGGATTGCTGTTCTTATTTCCTTTTTTTAAAATTTTATTATTATTAAACTTTAAATTTTAGGGTACATGTGCACAACGTGCAGGTTTGTTACATATGTATACATGTGCCATGTTGGTGTGCTGCACCCATTAACTCATCATTTAGCATTAGGTATATCTCCTAATGCTATCCCTCCCCCCTCCCCCCACCCCAGATAACTTTTTTTTTTCTGTATTTTTAGTAGAGACCGGGTTTCACCATGTTGGCCAGGCTGGTCTCGAACTCCTGTGACCTCTCAGGCGATACACCCACCTCAGCCTCCCAAAGTGCTGGGATTACAGGTGTGAGCCATTGCGCCCGGCCCCCTCTTCTATTTTCGAACTTGAAAATGGCAGATCACCACTGTCTTTATAGAGACTCTTTGTTTTGTAGAACACTAATCTTGAACATCGTTCTTAGCTTTTGACTTAAGTTGAAAGGTTTGAACCAAGAAAAACTTTTCTTCATATGCTGTATATTATTTCCAGACTTTTAGTCATATTAACTTCTTATGTGCAAATCTCAATAGTGTATTTTGGGAATGTGTAGATGTGATATTTCAAACTTTATTATCAGATAAAGCAAAGGTTCTGACTGATCCAAAAATCTCCACCAAACTAATTAGATGGAATGCCAGCCTTGATTCTGTGCTTGTGCTTACTGACTAAATATCAGCTCTGTGTATCAAGAATATTTGGTGAAAAAATTGTATGAAGAGTCAGACAATCATAGATCTAAAATCCTGTACTCACAATGTGACTTATCCATGTTTTCTTTCTGAAATGCAGCTTTTTTGATCTATGATAGAACGATTACAATGACAGTTCATATACTATATATATGAAAGTACCAGCACTGTCTTATACATAATAGGACATCATAAATATGAATTTATTTCTTTTATCTTATGTTGATCAAACATTATGGGAGCGCTAAAGAATTATAAATCTACATAGGTGTATGCATGAATCATACATACATAAAATGGATAATACATAAAAATTATTTCATTTTTATTTATTCATAATAGTAAAGATTATAATGTCCCTCTAACTTAAGCAGACTACAGTGTGGGCAACTGTTACATTGTTCTTTTTTGCCCTCTCATATCTTGTGAATATAGCGTAATTTTTGTTCTACTCAATTCAGTTCTCTTGGTTATTCCAAAAGTATTCGCATTTGCATTTATCAGATTTAGAATTTAAAGTAAAACCTTATTTTTATACATTGAGGTTTTACTTTTCAATTTTCATTTGCATACTAATCACATTTTAGTATTTTACAGGAATTATGAAGTTCCTAAGTAAATTACTTCTTTCAGCTCTAAGAATGCTCACAAATGACTAAGGTAAATAGTCTTCTCAGAGTTGATTCAGCTTATTGGGCCCTTGTGTTATTTTTCTATTGTTGTGCTACAGTGTTATCACACTCAGCAGCTTAAAGTAGCAGTCTTGATTATCCCACAGTTTCTCTGTGTCAGGAGTCTGGGTGTGACTTAATTGGGTCTTCTACTTTGGGGCCTCTCAAATCTGTGGCACATTTTTAGGATCTGATCTGCTCTCCTAGATGTATTTAGACTCTAGGAGTCCCACTTTGGTGCTCAAATAAACTTAATGCAGTTTTTTTCTTTTGTTAAATGTTATGAAAAACATGAGGGACCACATTCATTTAACTTTGTTTCCAGAGAGTCCCCATACTTAAAAGAAAAAGAGGAGGCATTTGGTGTCTGGTCTTGCATTAACTTCTACTCATAGTCCAACTGTCGCTGTTTAAAATGAAGGTACATTATAGGCTCTCATAGCATGGATATGTCTCATTTGTAGCATTTGTCACAGATACAATTGTTCATTTATATGATTATTTAATAGATATCTCTGTCACTTACTCTTGGCCCAGTAAAGACAGCGACTATGAAAAAAATTGCTTACCTTTTGTACCCAAGCACCTGGCAGAGTGCTTGGTACATAGAAGGCATTCAGTAAATCATTGCAGAGTGAATGAACACATAGCGACATGGAATGAGAGTCATCAGTAACTCAAAGCTCTTCCTGGGCAACATAAGTGATGTTATCAAGCATCAGGAAGCAATAGAGGCTGCATTGATTTGAAGCTGGGACCTGTTTTAAGGGAAGAAAGAAATTCACAGTGAGAATGGTGCATTACTATGGCTGAGCCATGTTGTTCTTTGGTATATTCATTTTTATCTCTATTTTCTCTAACATTTTTAATACCCTGGCATTTACTGAGGCATCATTAGACATGGCACTTGTGAAACTTCAGTATATTTTGGAGACTCTTAATAGCTATTGCATGCAAGAAATCATTCCGTTCACTTGTGAAGTCAACTGGACAGGTGAAAATTAAAGCTATTTTTGAAATCACTTGTGGTTGTTCCATATAAAATTATTCTCCAGTTGTAACTTTAGTTTATTGAAAAAGCTTATTTCAGGACTTCTAGTATAAATTTACTTCTAATTATTTGGAAAGTTTCTTATATATCATCCATCCACTGAACAATCATATACCGAGTGCCTCCTTTTTTAGCTAGATACAGTAGAAGGAGCTAGGAATAGAGACTGGTAGGGTGGAAAGACAGGAATTTTAATGTAATATATCTATAAACTTTATATGAGAACAATTATGATTCATGCACGCAATATCATGATAGCACATAAGTAGGATACCAGCCCATAGGCTAGGGACAAAAGTGGGAACATTCTCAGGAATAAATTCTATTTAGAGGAGATACGTGAGTGAAGTCTTTAAGAACCAATTCAAGTCAGTTTGGAGAAGAACAAAGAGAGAAGTGATTAATTCCCTAATTTTGTTCCATCTGTGTTTTGCCAACTTATATTTAATTCTCTCATGTAATTAATAAACAAGTGTTTATCAAGCAGTTTGAGATTGGCAAGATGGATTTCTTTTTTTATAAATACACAAATAACATATGCTTGAGTTATAAAAGTAAGAAAGTACAGAAAATAGAAAAAAGATACACTCATCATTATAACTATATTATACTCCTCTAATTTCTTTTCACATGTATGTTATAATTATATATTTTTACAAAAATGGGGTTATGCTGACTAATGTTTTATGATGAGTTCTCTAATAAAAATTTCTTGAATTTTTTCCTATCAGTAAATATAAGTTTTACTCCACATATATATGCATGGATATATTGTATTTCATTATATTGTTTACTTAGCTGATCCTTTTTTGTTGAATACTGCTTCCATTCTTTTTGTTTTTGTTTTTTTGAGATGGAGTCTCCCTCTGTCACCCAGACTGGAGTGCAGTGTCACAACCTCGGCTCACTCCAACCTCCGCCTCCTGGGTTCAAGTGATTCTCCTGCCTCAGACTCTCAAGTAGCTGGGATTACAGGCGCACACCACCATGCCCTGCTAATTTTTGTATTTTTAGTAGAGACGGGGTTTCACCATGTTGGCCAGGCTGGTCATGACCTCCTGACCTCAAGTGATCTGCCTGCCTCGGCTTCCCAAAGTGCTGAGATTACAGGTGTGAGCCACCGAGCCCAGCCTGCTTCCATTTTTTTTTCATGAGTATAAACAATACAGAAATGATCATATTTTTGCTCAGTGATTCATTCCTTTGTAAAACTTTAAAATGCTGATTCAAAGACATATGATTTTAAGCATTTGACATAATGATAAATTTTCCCCAGAAAACGTATCCCAGTTTTAACAACCATATTCAATATGTTAATCTTCATTTCTTCATACCTTTTCCAATACTGTGAATGTACTTTTGAATGTTTTCTGATGATATAAGAAAAAACATATCATTTTTAAAGTTGCATAATGAGATTGAGGTTTACCATTTATTGTTCAATATTGTTTCTTTTGTGAAATGCCTACACATTTCAGGATAAATTTTGCCAAATTCAAATGAGTTATAACCATATATTTGAAATATATAGCCCTTTACTAAGTTGCTTTCAATTCTCACTGATTTAGTCATTTTTTCACTAAGATATTTATGATAAACACAACTCTCGTGAAAATGTTTTAAGAAGGCTAAAGTGAAATTGGCAAGAAGATAACACTTTTGAAGACCGTGCTGGGATCAGGATAGAATTGCAAGTGACTGACAAGTATTTTTTAAATTAAATTATCATAGCTGCCCTAGAAGATAGAGCATATTAATAATGAAACTTAAAGATAAGGAACTTAAAGTACAGAGATACTAAATAATTTACCCAATCAATCAGTTAGTAAGATGTACAGAAAGGAATTGAGCCCATGTTGTCTGAGTTCATATATGATATATGTATATAAGGTTGCCCATTTGAAGTATCACATTTATCTCAGGCTCCTAAGTTCAATATCATTATTTTCACTTGCAGTTAGTAAATTTTGGAGTATAGTTGACACCTTATTGGCACTTCTTCATAGTAAAAGCTATTTTGAAAGTATAAGTCTGGGCTGGGCTTGGAGGCTCATGCCTATAATCCAGGCACTTTGGGAGGCCGAGGTGGAAGAATTGCCTGAGGCCAAGAGTTCAAGACCAGGCTGGGCAACATAAAAGGCCCCATCTCTAATTAAAAAAAAAAAAAAAAAGACTAAAAGAGAAAGCATAAATCTGAATGTGCCATTAATAAAGTTACATGTCTAGAACATAGTAGACTGTGAAGCCATGAAATAGCTTAACAGTAAAGGAAAGAGGCTTTAATATTTTCCTTACAAATGAAAGTATCTTCAGGTTGTAAATCAGAATTTATGAATATGGCAAATAAACATAATCTGCAAGTTGTATAATTTCTATATGGAGAGCATCTGACGATTAAAAACAAAATCTTGCTGCAGCAACACAAATGACATGTTTGTAAATTCAAACACAAGCCATGTGCGGAGAGACTACAACCTTTATCCAAACGCTTGTTTGATACAGCAGAGGGCCATGTGCTGAAAATACAATCTCCACATGTTAAGGCCCAGTAATCTTCTAAATTAATGTAATCTGTATATATAGAGAAAGTATATGATCACAGTTTCTGAATCTCTTTTGAGGTTTCTTCTGAGTTTCTTCATAGGCATATATCAACATTAATAACCTATTTTATTTTTTACCAACAATAGTGAGTTTATGTCCTTCCAGCACAATGCTGCTTTTATAAGTCCCATTGAGTTTAGTCTACGAAGCATATTTACTTTCACATTTCCAAATTAGCAGAATTAAAATGTTAAAGACCATGTACCTCATAATGGAAGCAGAAATTCATTAAGAAATAATTTATGAAAATGAATCAATAAAGTAATCCCTAATTAATACAATAATCCAGTACTGTAATTGAATTCAGTTTCTTTTTGAGAACCACTTGTGACTGTGTCTGAAAGCTTTGCAGTGTTTTCAAATTGTTTTGTAAGAAGAGAACCCTCAAGATTCTTTCAGTGGAGGCAAAGGCAAAAACTCAGGCTTATCAATGTGTGGGGGGACTCCCAGAGGCAACAAGTTCCCAGGGGACCTCAGTATCTAGATTAGTGCTTGCCAACATGTAACATGTGCCACTAATGGTAAAGATGATTGTATATAGTATAAAGATGAGCATTTCTATTTTAATAGTCATACATTTCTTTGAATACTTATTAGAAGCAATATAACTAGCACATCTAACCCATAATTTATAACTGTAGCTAGATGAAGCTATATTTTTTGAAAATTGCTACATAATAAAAGTTTTTAAAATATTGTAGATTTATACATAACAAAGAATATTTGGCTTATGATTAAAAATGGGTTATTAAATAAATACTGCATGGACACATTTATATATCAGGAAGAAAATCAGTGAACCTCTGTTTCTACCATATATGAGTAACTACTGAAAGAATAACATCTTAAATATAAAAATAAAACAATAAAAGTGTTGACTAAACTAGAAAATTATATGTAAAGCCTAATGATGAGGAACTTCCTGAGAATGAAAATTTAAGATATACTTTTTAATAAGATGGACATATTCATATGTCCATCACACACATACACACACAAAATCTATGGTACAACAAATTATGGCATAAAAAAAGCAAATAGGAAACAAAGGGAAAAAAACCATGCTTGTTCAATAGAAGTCTATATTTGGTCAGATGTATTTATGCACTTATATAAAATGTATGTATATGTATGTATGGATTAAATCATTAAAATATTTTTCAGATTATATTAAAAATAATATGAGTGATACTTGATTATGTTAGAAATAATAAAGTTGATACTTAAACTACTGAAAAATCTCCTTACGGTCTTTCTCATTCTACTAAATTATTTAATTTTGTTCTTTATAATTTCATTAAATGTCATTTTTATCTTGCTTGCACTATAAATATATTTAGCAAATTCTTTATTCACAGGAAACTAGGAGATAAACTTCAGTTTGGTAACATTGAATGAGCACACATTTGAAAGGATTGATTTTCCAATAATGATCATTGGCTTGGCTTCCTCTTTCACAGAGATAATGAGGCCAGTCTCTGCCCATGCCACTGAAACTTAAACTTGAAAATTTTACTCAGTGATGCTAACCATCAAAAACAAAATAGGAGGCTTAATAGGCATAAAAGTTAATTAAACTATGGTTATAAATTTTACAAATATTAATTTCTTCAGGAATGCAATCTTTTATTATTAAAAAGCTTTTGTTTTTGTTTTTGAGACAGTCTTGTTTTGTTACCCAGGCTAGAGTACAGTGGCACAATCTCGGCTCACTGTAACCTCCGCCTCCCAGGTTCAAGCAATTCTCCTGCCTCAGTCTCCTGAGTAGCTGGGTTATAAGTCTATACAACCACACTTGGCTAATATTTTTTTTTTTTTTTTGTAGAGAGGGTTTCGCCATATTGCCCAGGCTGGTCTCGAACACTAGGCCTCCCAAAATGCTGGAGTTACAGGCATGAGCCACCACGCCTGGCCCAAAAACATCTTTATTTGTTGTTGGCTGCCATCACTAAACCGTCTTGAATCATATGAATCATCTTACACATCTGATGTGTTATGTCAATTATTTCAGGCTTTCTTCTAAAATATCTGCTTATTTCTCTCCAATATGTTCAGAGGAGTTTTGCCTAGCCCTAGAAAGAGTTAATGTATATTTTATACATATATGTTTATATATATGTGTGTGTTTATATGTATTATATATAAATATATATTTATATATAAATAATTATTTGATGGAAATAATAATTATTAAATAATTATTAAAATATTTATTTTGACAATGTATCATTTAGAATAAAATGAGGATAGAAGGCAACATACCACCTGGCTACTTTGTTACAAGAGTCACAATGATGACAGCTTACCTCTCAAATTAAAATCTTATTTTGTAAACAAATATATCTACATGCATCTAGTCAACAATGATATGCAAATCACATCTGCTTGTGCACACAATGAGATATGTGTGAGTGTTTACGTGTTTGGCATATTTGTCAATAATATAAAATATTAAGAACTAAGAAATGACCATTATTTTTCCCATCTAGGTACTAATCTATTCTAGTGACTATAAATTCATAATTTTCCCCAGCAAACTTACTTGTTTTCCTTGATTTCCCGTAGTGGTGAATGACACCACTGTCTGTTTATTTACCTACTTTCTAGAAATAGAACACTAATAATCAAATCATTGACCTTCCCCACCCTCGATTTATCATATCATTACCCCTCCCAACACAAACACTCTCTAATCATCAAACAATTTAAGTCCTGCAGACACTGTTTCCTGGATATTTTAAAATTCCATCTCTTTCTCTCTATTCTTCGTGTCATTCTGAGAGTTTGGCCTCTTATCACAAAAACCCTAGATTTCTGCAAAATCTTCTAATTTAGCTTCTGAGTCTTACCCCAACTACTGTGCCCAGCTGTTTAAATAAGCTTTCCAAAATACAAATATGATTAAGATCCTTCTGTAATATTTAGCTCTGGCTTGCTGTGTTGTTTGTTATGAAGTCCAGCCTCTTCATTTCAGCACTCGCAGGCATTGTAAATGTATTTTCTGCCTACCTATCTCTTTATCCTTTTCCCTCTCCATTTTGCTACAAGTGTCTTTGCCTCCGGCAATGTGAATAGACCTGCAATGTCATGAATGTAGGCTTCTTTCATTCTTTAAGCTTTTACACATGCTGCCCCTTTCCCTGGCTTAGTTGTCCTCCTCACAGTATGTTCCCACAGCAGCCTGTGCGTGACAGGGTCACACGATTAACAGTGCTGTGATTATGGCTCACTTCTCTGTCTGCCTCAGCAGTCTCTAAGACCCTTGAGGGAAGGATCAGATCTTGTTTTTCTGTGTCCAACACTGTCGCGGTAAGCACTCAATATTCATTTGTCAAATGATAAAAGGGGACAAATTCAGTAGTTGAGTTAGTTGTAGCAATCTTTCGGTAACTCATCTGTTTATTCCAGATAGGTATAATGTTATTCCTTTTGATAAAAATATTAACTCTAATTACATTTTCTAAACAACATATAGGAAAATATCAGTAGGGGTGAGTACATTATTGGAACTGATGCATTTGAGAAAAGTAGATTATTAGATGCATGTGAATTGCTAATTTCAGTTTATGCCCAATGATATCTTCAGAAATGCATGCTGTGAGGTAAAAATTTCTGGAAAGATCTAACTTTTACGAAGTGATTGCAAAGTAGATATCCAAGGGAATTTCCAGTTGTCATTATCAGCAAAGGGTTCAGAATCTATGGAACATGGACAATGGCAGTAAGCAAAGTATAAAGAATCTCAAATCTTTAAAAATTAAGGAGTATAGAGTCTAGGTCCGTCTTTTTCATTATCATAACATGAAACAATGTCTGGAACATAGTAAGTGCTTAGTAAACATCTGATAAATGAATGTATGAAAGAATAAATGCATGAATGTTGGAGGGATAATTGAATAAATAAGTAAATAAATTGATCCCATTTTATAATATTTAGCTATGGTATAAAAACAAAACAAATACCAAAATAAAGTGTCTTGAAAAATCATCACAGACCTCAATACAGAAAAAAAAAGAGTAAAACAGGTATATATGTAAATAAAAGAAGTTTTGAGAGGAAGGGAGATAACTCTGAACATAATTTATAGTACTAAAGTTTCAGTAAAGGATAAGATATGCATTGGGTTTGATTAGAAAGATAAAAATCAAGTGTTGACATTTTTCCTGTGGCCTCTGAGATAAGACTAAGACTAAATCAGCCTGTTCATTTCTAGTTCTAATTGTGTGTCTGTGATCTTAGTTTAGATTATGTGTACACAGAAAAAAGTAAAAATAAATACTATTATGGTTGTGACTGGATTTCAGTAGTTCTTTGATTTATCCATTTGTTATACATTAGTCCTTGGAATAACAAAGGTCTGAGTTCTGAATATCTGAAATTTAAGTGAGAACTAATGTTAGATTAAATAATACATCCAACATTAAAATTCAGTTTAGTGCTGCTGCATAATCTCATAAATCTAAATCACATACTGATTTTTTTTTAAATAACTGTCCTTTGGCTGAAGTAATAGCATGAAGTCGTTGATGTGTATGAATAACACAGTAATTAAGTTGTTTTTACTTTGTTGCTGGTTTGAGATTTTGTCCTGGGCTGTGAGTGCTAGTCCACTGACATATGGAAATAACAAGAGCTTCCTTTTAAAAGGTGCTCTTTCCACCATAAGTGCAGGGAGAGGGAAGTTTATCCTAAGTAGTATGATTTTCATGGAGTTCAGTTTCTCTGTGTTGTCAGCAGTACCCTTCACATGGAAGGAAATACATTGAGATAGGGTAACTCCTGGAGTCAGCTGAGTTGGGGTACCCCTCTTTGCTCTTCAAACTCATTTTTTAGTTTTATTTCAATAATTGTTGGGGTACAGGTGGTTTTTGGTTGCACAGATAAGTTCTTTAGTAGTTGTTTTTGAGATTTTGGTGAACTCATCACCTGAGCAGGGTACACTGTACCCAATATGTAGTCTTTTATCCCTCGTTCCCCCCTACAACCCTTCCCTCTGTGTCCTCAAAGTCCATTGTATCATTCTAATGCCTTTGCATTTTCATAGCTTAGCTCTCACTTATAAGTGAGAACATATGATATTTGGTTTTCCATTCTTGTGTTACTTCACTTAGAATAATGCCCCCAGCTCCATCCAAGTTGCTGGAATGGCCATTACGTGATTCTGTTTTATGGCTGAGTGGTATTCCATGGGGTATGTATGCCACATTTTATCATTTGTTGGTTGATGGGCATTTAGGTTGGTTATATATTTTTATTCAAACTTATTTTTTAAAAAACAGATTCAAATGCAACTTCTCCTCACTAGAATGTAAACGTCATGAGAGCAGGGACTATATTGCCAGTGTTTAGAATGGTGCCTGACATATAGTTACCATTCATTAGGTATTTACAATTATTCTTGATACCTTAGTTCCAGCTAATAGAATTGATAAAGTCTAGCTCTCTGAGTTCTAGTCTTGATACCACCATTTTCCAGTACTTATCACATAATGTTTCTGAGCCTCAGTTTCCTCTTTCTAAAGTGAGAATGAGACTAGCTGCCAACCAACCTCAAGTAGATCAGTTGATATGATGTATGTGAATTGTGTAACAAACTGAAGTGTTGCACAAATGTATTAATATAATATTGTTAACCTAACAAACAAGTAAAAACTTTTGAAGTGGTCTTTTGTTACCTGCCAGCTTAGAGTTCCCCAGTTCATGTAGATCAAAACTGGGATTGCCACAGGTTGCAGAAGGATGCCTGGACAAAGAAGTGAGAATGTGTGCAAATCTGACATGTTCTCTCTGCAAGAAACACTGAGCTCTGGTGTAGCAGCCCTGACTGCTTAGAGGAGGGAACTCCTTTTACCAATTAGCACCAATGGGGCATGTGGAGTAACTGGAGCCATGGCAAAGATCACCATTGATTCTCCATTATATTCGATTTAGTGTTAAAAAATATAGTCCCTGTTATGATGAAACCTGCTATTCAATGTACAGAAAGGGCTGCAACTTTGTCCTTCTTAAATCCTATGGGTATGCATACCACAGGGGTGAACAAAAGGTGTTGATGACAACATATCACTCTGAGTTTCTTTAACCTGTTGTAAGGTAAAGCATTATGCTGTTCATAGAAAGTTGATAAATTTTGGTCCTCAAAAGTCAGACTTGTCAATGCAGGACATTTTGTTACCTACTTAAATTCTATCTCTGCTGTGCATCCAGAAAAATATAAAACTTTAATACTGATATCTTTATTAAAAATGGATATGCATATATTTAATAGTCATCATCACAAAATTGATTATGGTATACTTTAAATAGCCTTTCTTGGCCAGCCTTTTATAATAACACAGATAAATTGTCTACTTTTTCTGGTGAGAGAGTGGGGAAAAAATAAGGAATTAGGTAGATACAACATGTATGTTTTTCCAAGTATTTTCATATTTGCAACTTTTCAGTTATGTTCAGTATTTAACTGATAAGTACATATAAATAATAATTTTTTTGTTTTTAAAACAATTTGCTAACAGCCAAAAGTGCATATAATACTATTCAATAGATGTAATTGTGCTAAACAAAGGCAGAATTCTTTTCTCTAGAGTTTAAATGTGGGAAGCAAAAACTGGACAGTAGAATTATCCCTGTACTTATGAACGTCTCTCAACAATACTTATAGTTATTTGTGATTTTGAATGATGAATGTTCTACTGCCTCTCCAACTGCTGTATAACCAGAGCGGTCAATATTTTTGGACACAAAACTGAATGCACTTCATATCCCCGTGTGTCTCTACCAGAACAAAACTTCAGGGCCCAGAAAAACTGAGAACAGCTACCACTATTTCTGTTCCCTCAGATTATGTCCCCATCCCTTTCCCATAATAAAGCTTCCTGCCCTTTTTTCAGGCCCCCACTGCCAGGACTCCACCCATTTTCTCCATTGTCCACTGCACAGCGCCATCATCATTGTCCGAAGCTAAATCTTTCCCCTTTACACACCCAACCCGGGTTCCATTCTGAGGAGGGCATTCCTCCTTTCTCAGCTCCTACTCCTGGAGATTCTATTGCAGTGGCTAAGATTCAATGGTGTTCTACATGCAGACCCTCTGGGGGCTTAGCTTAAGGGAAGGGAGAGCACTCTGCTTATTCACATTAATAAGTCTTCAGATACCGTGAGGATCTGGTGATACAGGTTCAGATACAAAACATGCTCCTGGAATAAATGCCTGGGAACGGTAACACAAAAGGGCACAAAGGGGTTCATTTCTAATACAGTACACATTTTTGGAGCATCTATTCCATAAAAGGCATCATGTGGCATTCAGTATTCAACTCTGCACACCAATTCAATAACATTTGCTTAGTGCCAGTCATTGTGCTGGGCACCAGAGGTATACAAATGAATATGAGAAGCTTCTAGGAGCTTATGTTCTAATGGGAGATCTGGAAACATAAACAGGCAATTGCAATATAATATGCCAATATGTGCAAAAAGGGTATTCTGGAAACATCCAGGAAGGACATTTATCTCATCTCGGAGGCATATATCCATGGCTTCCTGAAAGAACTGAAGCTTGAGCTGACTAGCACTTGCTCCACACTAGATAAAATGCAAACATATTTAAAAGTGTGAGGATGTCTAGAGTTTTATTTGTGTAACAATTCAGCTGCATAATACTAAAAAGATTTTGGTAGGTTGCATAATATTAAAAAGGTTTTGATACTGAGACCATAACCAACCCTCATACATTCTTTAATCAAAATGGGGAAATACATTTGTGCTCCAAATAACCACCTTACAGAAATCTTTCAGGACATAATGCTTATTTAGAAAAAAAAAATAGCACCAAATTATGAAAGGGATTAACAAAAAAATGGCAATAATGTGCTTTTTTGCAATTGGTAGTGAATGCATTAAAAACAGTATGATTTTTACATGAATGAAAATGCATAGTTTTACCTATTATGCATTCTGAACATTGGTTGAAGAAATAAATTTCTGAATTATTTACATCTCATGGCTTTATTGCAATGGTAGTTATGAATGAGTTTAGCATCAGTTGTGTACTTTGCAATGTAAAGGCTCTTCAAATAAATGAAACTCTAAGCCTCCAGGGCTTATATTCTCAGTTATATAACCCCAATGATCATATCCACGAAAAAGCAGTTTAATCTCAGAATTTTAGAATTTCATGTACAGAGCAAAGAATAAATGGATAGAGCTGAAGTAATTTCCCCTCAGAGAGACATTGTAGAAAGCCATATTTATATGTAAGAATATTTATCATTGTTATCAATTAATAGTTAGGGAGTTTGTCATTAAAGGGAAGAGTTAACAGCTATTGTGCCTGACATATTGCTAAGTACTGCAACTATTTTTTATGATCATCCTATGAGGTAGTTTTAATGATCTGTTTTATAGAGAACACCGAGGTGCAGATGCTAGTACAAAGTTAGGATTCAAACCCAGCACTGTCCCATCCTAGCACTACTTTTATTTCCTGTGCCATATGCCTCTCCTATGCCTGATTCATATTTATGAAATGCTGGCTTAAATTATTACTACCAAATTTAAAAAACATGTAATACTTTTTAAAGTTTTTACTATGTCAGTTACTTTTCTAGATTAAAAGAGCAGAAATTGGCGAACTCTTTTTGTAAAGGGCCTGTTAGTAAATGTTTTAGGTTTTGTGGGCTGTATGGTCTATATCACTCTTGCTCAACTCTGCCACTGTGGGAGGAACGCATAGACAATAGACAAAATGCAATATGAAAATGAATGGGTGTGGCTATGTTCCAATAAACTTGAGTCCTGCAAAGGGAGTAGGTAGCAAGGTAGACAATCAGGTGAATTTATTTCAGATTTAAGATGCAGAATACTCAAATTCATAAGAACTGAGAGATCACTGTGAGTCCCAGGATTCACACAGGTTTTGGGTTTGCTGGAGTATACAACTAGAAGGGATGAGTAATGGGAGCTAGGGTTTCTTAAACGTAGTGTGCAATCTTTGATACTTCATGTTTTTTTTGTAATGTTGAGACTATATACAGGGCCTTAAATATGGAAGTGGAAAATATACATACAATACGATCTGTTATTTTTGCTTCAACCTCACGATAGCGTGTCTATTGCACTTAGGATTTTGCTATAGGGTACATTCCCTTAAGGGCACTTACTGAGTACTGCTATTTACCTTGAATATTACATGCTTTCACTTTCCATTGATCTTGGTCACTGTAGAAGGGAGGGTCAGTCCCTGATTTACATTTGCAGAAAATGACTAGTTTTTAGACAAATGAAGTGATACCTCTAGGGTCCCCAGCAAACTCTTCTTCCAGCACCCAGTTTGCTGCTCCATCCACAACCTTTTGCTGTGGAGCCATGGCATATTCTTAATGCCTTATTAAAATAATCTGATAAGATCTTTTCTAATTATTCTTTATTTTCATAGGAACTAAAGTCATCTTCAAAGGAAAAAATAATACAGGAATACCTTGAAGATACTTCAGATTTAGGTCCAGATCACTGCAATAAAGCCATTATCTCATTAAAACAAATCACACTAATTCTTTGGTATCCCAGTACATATAAAAGTTATATCTACACTATAGAGTAGTCTATTATGTATATAATTACATTATGTCTAAAAATATATACACACTTTAATTTAAAAATACTTTATTTCTAAAAACTGCTAACAAACATCAAAGCCTTCAGCAAGTCATAATCTTTTTGCTGGTAAAGTGTCTTGCCTTGATGTTGATGTCTGCTGACCAATCATGGTGGTGGTTGCTAAAGGTTGGGGTGGCTGTGGCAATTTCTTAACAAAAGACAACAATGAAGTTTGCTGCATCGATGGACTCTGACTTTCAGAAAAGATTTCTCAATAGCCTGCAACATTGTTTGATAGCATTTTACTCACAGGAGAACTTCTTTCAATATTGGAGATAATCCTCTACAACTAGGCCAGTTTTTTAATTTACTAAGTTTATAAAATATTCTAAATCCTTTGTTGTCATTTCAACAGTGTTCACAGCATCTTTACCAGCAGTAGATTCCATTTCAAGAAATCACTTTCTTTGCTCATCCATAAGAAAGCATCTCCTCACCTGTTCAAGTTTAATCATGAGATTGCGGCAGTTCAGTTCCATCTTCAGGCTCCACTTCTAATTCTAGATCTCTTCCTATTTCTATTACATCTGCAGTTGTTTCCTCCACGGAAGTCTTGAACCCCTTAAAGTGATCATGAGGGTTGGAATCAACTGTTAAGGAAATCCTGATAATGTTGATATTTTGACCTCCTACTTTGAATCCCAAATGTTTTTGATGGCATATAGAATGGTGAATCCTCCAGAAGATTGTAAATTTGCTTCATTTAGATCCAAGAAAAGAGTCGCTAGCTATAGCTTTACAAAAACGTATTTCTTAAAAAATAACTCTAGAAATAAAAATTACTCTTTGATCCATGGGCCACAGAAAAGATTTTTGTGTTAGGGGGCATCAAAAACAACATTAATCTCCTTAAACATCTCTATCAGAGCTCTTGAGTGACCAAGTACATTCTCAATAAGCAGAAATATTTTGAAAGAAATATATACATATATTTTTTCTGAGTAATAGGTCTCAACATTGGGCTCGAAATATTCAGTAAACAGACGTGCTGTCATGCAGGATTTGTCATTCCACTGATAGATTAAAAAACTGTTGTTCCACTGATAGAGCATAGACAAGGTAGATTTAGTATAATTCTTCAGAGCCTTGGGTTTGTCAGAATGGTAAATGAGCATTGGATTCAACTTAAAGTCACCAGCTGCATTAGCTCCTAATGATAGAGTTAGCCTGTCCTTTGAAGCTTTGAAGCCAAGCATTGACTTCTCTCTAGGAGTCAATTGATTTATAAAAATCCTAAATGGCATCTTCTTTCAATATAAGGCTGTTTCATCCACATTGAAAGTTTGTTGTTTAGTGTAGCCATTTTCATCCATCATCTTAGCTAGATCTTCTGGACACCTCGCAGCATATATCCTCTACATTAGCATTTGTTGCTTCACCTTGCACTTCTATCTTATGGAGATGGCTTATTTCACTAAATCTCATAAACCAACCTCTGCTACCTTCCAACTTTTCTTCTGCAGCTTCCTTACTTCTCTAAGCCTTCACAGAATTGAAGAGAGTTAGTGCCTTGGTCTGGATTAGGCTTTGGCTGAAGGGAGTGTTTTGGTTGGTTTGATCTATTCAGAACACTTGAATTTTCTTCAGATCAGCATTAAGGCTGTTTTGCTTTTTTATCATTTATGTCCTCACCAGGGTAGCACTTTTTAATTTCTTTCAATAACTTTTCCTTTGCACTCACAACTTAGCTGTTTGGTGCAAAAGGCCTAGCTTTTGGCCTAGCTCAGCTTTGAACATGGCTTCCTCACTAAGCTTAATCATTGTAGCTTTTGATTTAAAAGAAGAGATGTGTAACTCTTCCTCCCATTTGAACATTTAGAGGCCATTGTAGGGTTATTAACTGGCCTAATTTTGATTGTGTCTCAGGGAATAGGGACGTCTGAGGAGAGGGAGAGAGAGTAGAGATGGCCAGTTAATGGAACAGTCAGAACACACACAACATTTATCAATCAAGTTCACCTTCTTGAATGGGTGGGATTCATGGAGCCTGTAAACAATTAATGGGTGCAAACAAATACAACAGTAACGTCAGAAATCACTGATCACAGATCACTGTAACAGATGTAATAATAATGGAGTAGTTTGAAATATTGTGAGAATTACCAAAATGTGACACAGAGGCATGAAGCAAGCACATGCTATGGGAAAAATGATGCCAATGGACTTGCTGGACGCAGGGTTGCTACAACCCTCAATTTGTAAAAGTGCAGGATCTGCAATGTGATAAAGTGAAGCACAATAAAAGGTAGTATGCCTTTACTTGTATGCTTTTAATTTCTCACTTCGATTTCCAAATCTCTTTATGGTAAGTTCACTTAGTAACTAGTCAGTCTTTCATCAGGATCCACTGCAGGGCAAATTGGCTTTGTCCCATTTACCAAGAGCTTGCTTTAGATCGTACAGTCTGAGAAGGATATGACTGCAGAAAGTGTCATATAAAAAATAATAAAATCCTGTTTCATAGGGAACACTACTAGAATGATGAGGTTTGTAAAAGACTTTTATTCAAAAGAACTATGAGAAGTACAAATGAACAATGGAATAAATTAATAAGTGATTTCATTAAAATGTTCTGCTTTACATAATTAAGACTTAGATGTTATAGATTATTCTCAGTTTAAATTTCATGAGAAATAATTTGCAGGACACCAGGAAATGTTGCTATTTTGCTATAACACACATTTTAACATTATTATGAATTCCAAAGACTCAAAAATGTTCATTATTTTCTGTATAAGGAACTGTGAGTCTCAAGATGGCACAACTTAACGCTATTTGCATACCACAGAGGCATATTCTGGGTGGAGCCATGTTCTAGAATTTTTTTTTTTCACTTGCTTGTTTGCTTTTCGTTTCAAATATCAGGCCTTCTTGCTAGAGAATGGGGTTTGATCCTTTCACAACTTAGAATTTCTCAGGATTAATTGATAAATTTAATAAGCTTGATGTTTTAAAACTAAAGTCATGCTACCTAAATAATACTAAAAATATATTAAAATGCATTTTTTTGGCATTTCATACTATAAATTTTCAGTTGTTTATTAATCCTAAAATGATCCCTGTATTTTAGGTTCTGAGGGTAGTGGATTTTGTTGAATAAATTATTGTAGAATCATTTAACAAACATAACCAGAATTTCATTCTGTTTGGTAACATTCATGCTTTGGACATTTTTAAATCATTAGATAAAAATTTTCTTTTTCTGGGATAAGTGAAGAAAGTGGGTTTCCTTTGGAGAAACATTTTATTGTAAATATTTTAATTTAACAATTTTTAAAATGACATGATGTAATTAAATTATATAAAAGCTACAACCTATAGTAGAGCTTTCTCTGAAAGCTCTATCCTTCACAGAATTGAAGAGAGTTAGTGCCTTGGTCTGGATTAGTCTGGATTAGGCATCCACAAATATTGATTTTTGATGAAAGAATAAAATATGTGGTCTTTTACAGTTATAGATTCATAAGGTAAAAATAATAGGGTTATTTGAATGTTAAAATCTTATTTAAAGAATCTAATATTTCAATTTATTGAAAAAATGAATAATTTGGACAAATAGCTGCATTTAATTTCTGGTCAAATTGTAGTTACTCTGAATTCTGACATTATCATTTCATTAAAATATGTTGATGGCATATGCCTCACTGACCTATGGTGTTTGCATGTATGTGCACACATGCATACATCTTTTAAAATATACACTTTTCTACATGCAAATATTTTTTAATCCAGCTAACCTAATTATGACCAGAAGCCATCCCTTGGATGATTTCAGTTTTCAGCTACATCTGGAATTTGAGAAGGAATCAATTTCCTCTACAATTTAATCAAAATTTTATTTTACACAACTCATTAATAGTAATGCCTTAGGTGTACATTTAACTTAAACTTTTAAAAGATAATTTTATTGTATGGTGAGGAGACCATATAACATTTGTCATAGGTTGAATTGTATCTTCCCACAACCTTATGTTGAAGTTCTAATTCCCAGAAACTCAGAGTATGATCTTAATTGGTCATAGTGTCTTTACAGAGGTAATCAAGTTAAAATTAGGTCATTAAGGTGTGATCCAATCCATTATAACTGGTATCCTTATGGAAAGGGGAAATTTGGAGACAGAAACACATAGAGGAAGAATGCCATGTTAACATGAAGCCAGCCATCTACAAGCCAAAGAGAGAAGCTTAAACAGATTCTTCCCTCACAGGCCTCAGAAAGAACCCTATCAATACTTTGATTTCAGACTTCCGCTTCCTCCAGAACTGTGTGGCAACACATTTGTGTTGTGTGTAAGTCACCCAGTTTGTGGTATGTTGTTATGTCAGCCCTAGCAAACTAACATAGCATTTATTTTTTTGCCAAATGACAAGTCAGCTTTCACCCATGGTTAAGTTTTGTTAAGCCCTACTCATAAGATGGCCTCATTTTATTACCGAAGTGCTCTTTGAGCCATTGTGGCTTCTGAAATGATGGAATATTTCTCAGAAAGTCATATATACCTCCAGAAATCTGGCTTGTGTGATGATTTTCAGTTTCACTGGTGCAGAGATGTTATATAAACCTATAGCAATGTAATTGTGATCAATTTTGGGGCTAGCATATTAACTATTGTAGTTTTCTTATGAAAACTGCCTTAGCAAAACTCTTTAATGATCTGGCTCTTTTTATGATTTGTAGAGTATTTGAAAGAAGACATGTTTAATTAGAAGTAACATGGGTAAAATAATTGATGCTATTTTTGAAGAACTTCCTCTAACACTGAACCAATGAGTTTAATATCCAAATTTGAATATATAATGTGTATCCCTGTTGTTATCAGATTAAAAAAGAAAGTGATTTTTATGCAAGAAAAAAATGATTCCTAAACTGTTTTTCATTTTTCTTATTTTTTTCTAAGATAGAAGCAGACAGTGAATGGCAGATATCTTGCAGAGCATAACCCTAGATCAATACTATTCAAGGGAGGCTGCTTAGTAGGTTCCAAAAACATGAGCTCTAAAGCAACCACAATTTTATAAAGCCTATTTTACTGAATCAGCTATGGCTTGCTGACACTAATGCAGTTGTAATGCTTGAATAAGCTTAGTCAAATAAAGCTTATGAAGCTCACTCCACAGAAATTACTGCTTTGAGTGATTTAAATGTCAGAAATATGGGCTTGTCATTTTTTTCCCAGTAAAATCCTATTCAGATAAGCTATTTGAAATGATCCGATAGGGAATTCACTGTTCCTTGTAATACTGACAGTCCCAATGCCTAGAGTCCACCCTGCATTGACCCCAAGGAAAGTGACGTCCTGCCTGTCTCTAGCAGTAATACAAGGTTGAGTCCCCCGACAGTAAATATCAAATTGGTTCTTAGAGGACAAGGGTCTCATTTTTCATTTATTTTTTAACCTCCTTTAGATGCTGAGGATGTAATTTTATCTTGGGAATGCTTAATAAAATGACTGCTCTCCTGCTTAGTAAAAACTGAAATGTTAAGCAGTGTGAAGGGGCCAGATAGAAAAAGTCCATTCATTATTTTATTTATATCTTTGCTTTTAAAAGTCAGTTTCTATCAGCAATGCAATTGCCCAGAGAAAAAGCCTTTTATTAGTTGCCAATGAGTGGCATTTCTTCCTCACAAAAATTTTAAGACCCCCATCTTAGGTCTATTTGGACGAGCAGGATGAGAATGTTGAAGACTAAGCAATACACAGTACTTTGAAAACTCTGATAATGAGTAGACTTCAGAAAATTGGTTCTTTTTAACTCTTCTTTTTCAGTTTCCTTTCATATCAAAGAGGAAAAGAATACTTGTCCCCACTCTCTAGGTGGGTGCAGCTTTATCGGCCTGTTTCTAAAACTGTGTGAGCTTTTTAGAAGAAAGGTGTTGTATAAAGTATTATTTGTGTTTACCTAATTGCTTGCTCTTTTGAAATATGGGCATGAATACCTTAATGTTCTTTTCAGAAGCACATAAAGGAGCTTCAAGCTCATTTAAAAGTCCTTTGAAAGGCACAGGAAGCTGCTGGTTTTTTTCTTCATAGATTAAATGATAAAAACAAAACACATAGGAAACCTTATCTCTCTAAATTTTCAGGCTGCATTTTCTTCTTAAAATACGTGTATTTCCTTCGTGAGATGTGTATACTCAGTCCAGAAAGATAGAGGTTTGGGCAAAACTATCATGATCTGTTCTAAACCTTTTAAATAACTTAATAAAGATTTGGGACTGGACATGGTGGCTCATGCCTATAATCCCAGCACTTTGAGAGGCTGAGACAGGTGGATCATCTGAGGTCAGGAGTTCGAGACCAGCCTGGCCAACATGGTGAAACCCCATCTGTACTAAAAATACAAAAATTAGCTGGGCGTGGTGGGGCATGCCTGTAATCCCAGCTACTCAGGAGGCTGAGGCAGGAGAATTGCTTGAACCCAGGAGGTGGAGGTTGCAGTGAGCCAAGATCGTGCCACTGCACCCCAGCCTGGGCAACAAGAGTGAAATTCCATCTCAAAGAAAAAAAAATATTTGGGTTCAGGTAAAACAAATATAATGATATGTTAATACAATGGTGTCCATATTTAAATATATATTTTTTCTCACAAAATTCTTAAATATTTTACTATATGAGAGAGAAAAATACTCTATGGATTTGTTTTCTACACAATTGTGGTAATAGCATTAATTCTGGAGTCACTAAAGAAAGTGCCAATTTATATTACTGACAAATTTATATTACTGATAATTAAAGATGCATGAAAGTAGACATATTTTATTATAATTTTTTATATCAAAGCGCTTGGGCTACTCAATAAATTCAGTCCTTTCCCTGTTTACTGATTATATATTTTAAAACAGTGGTTTCCATTCTTTTTGGCACCAGAGACCAGTTTTGTGGAAGACAATTTTTCCACAGGCCAGGGCAGGGGACATGGTTTCAGGATGAGTTAAGCACATTATATTTATCGTGCACTTTATTTCTATTATTACTACTATCATTATTATTTTTTTTGAGACAGAGTCTCACTCTTTCGCCCAGGCTGGAGTAGAATGGGCACGGTCTTGGCTCACTGCAACCTCTGCTTCCAGAGTTCAAGCAATTCTCCTGCCTCAGCCTCCCAAGTAGTTGGGACTATAGGCATGTGCCACACACCCGGCTAATTTTTGTATTTTTAGTAGAGACGGGGTTTCACTATGTTGGCCAGGCTGGTCTCAAACTCCTGACCTCATGATCTGCCTGCCTCGGCCTCCCAAAGTGCTGGGATTACAGGTGTGAGCCACAGCGACTGGCCCTGTTTCTATTATTATTACATTGTAATATATAATAAAATAATTATACAACTCACCATAATGTAGAATTGGTAGAAACTCTGAAGTGTGTTCCCTGTAACTGGACAGTCCCACCTGGGGGCGATTGGAGACAGTGACAGATCATCAGGCATTAGATTCTCATAAGGAACCAACAACCTAGATTCCTCCCATGCACAATTCACTATAGGGTTCATGATCCTATGAGAATCTAATGCCGCTGCTGATCTGACAGGAGATGGAGCTCAGGCGGTAATGCAAGCCCTGGAGAGTGGCTGTAAATACAGATAAAGTGTTGCCTGCCCACCCGCTGCTCACCTCCTGCTGTGTGACCTGGTTCCTAATGGGTCCGTGGCCTGGGGGTTGGGGACTCCAGCTGTAACATATCTCTAGTCATATACACATACATATTAAAAATTGTAATTGTTAAATTATCACTACTTTTCCAACAAATGGATGGAAATTTCCTTATAAGTAGAAAATATAGGACTACTATCATTTATATTTAAATATATTTTTAAAAAACAGGTTGCTTCATCACATTTGCCTGAATACTGAAAAAAGTAAAATTTAAAAAAGAAACTTGGGTCTTAGTTCTTGCACTTCCATAAATTTCCTGAAAGTAGCTATTGGCAATATGAGGAATCTACAATTTTCTGCCTACAGTCTTAAGCAGAAGCTTTATATGAAGTATTTATCATTACTAGTGAATACATCTGCATGAACTTATGGTTACCTTGTGTGCCTTTGAAGGAGGGGGACTGTCATACTCTCTTACAGGTAATAAAATAGAATCTACTGTGACACAATAGTGTGATTATGACTCCATGTGGGGTAAAGCAGCAGGAAATGATTAATTCTTAAGGAAGAGCTGATTTCCATGAAAATATCTTTAGGAAAGAGAAAGTAAAAAACGCACATTAGAGTCAACAAATCATGAAAAGCTCATGATTCTGAAGCATTCAGCTTAGTATTTTTTTCCAAATTGAAATGGCATGTCATTACTCAAGGCTTTTCTGTTTCAGTGGGTTTGCAATTCAATGACAATGGGACAATTTAGTAGGAGGAATGCTGGGGCTAGGTAAAGTTTTATTTGTGCAAATTTGGCCCAGGAAGAAAATGTGTCAGCACAAACATAAAATACTAGAAAATTAATTTCCCAAATGAACTGAGTATAGTTCATGGATCTTATGTTTATCTTATTCAAATGATATTTGCTAAGAACCAGAGCCTTGCTACTATATCCGTGAGATTGAACCCACATAATTTGGGAGATTTTCTGCAGATTCTTTCCGCAAACTTCTAATTCACAAAGTTGGGCAAATCCTGGAATGGCTTATCTTACTGCATGAGACTTCCTGGGTTCATGAGAGGAAGATGAATAATTTTTCTACAATGAAACTGATTCAACCTGTCAAATTTATTTTCGTAAAAGGTCTTTTCATGGGTCCTGTTAATTTTTATCCCTAATCTGTCCCACTGTACATAGTGCCCTCTGACATTTTGATTTAGGCTACTTGGGCATGTAGTGGTAATAAGGAATCCTGGCCATGATTTCTGTTATTTTAACATGAAAGATATTTATTCTATTAAAATAGCCAAGCTTATCAAGTTTAACATATACTAATAGTCTTTTACAGCATTTCTTTAAACATTCCCAGAAAAAGATACATGCTATGGACTGGTTTGCATTCAGCCCTGCCCGATAAAACTTTCATGTTGAAATCCTTACCCTTAATGTAATGGTATTTATAGATAGGGGCCTTCAAGAGGTAATTAGTTTAGAATAGCCTTCAGACTCTCAGAAGTAAATGTCTCCTGTTTAAGCACACTAGGGATAGTATTTTGTTATGGCAGCCCAAGCAGACTGAGATCATAAATCATCACACATTTGTAAATTGATGATCAGGATTTTTATTCATTTTGTAAAGTAAAAATAAAACTCTAAATCCCCAACTTACTGAATGGCTCCTTCCTCTCTGCCCAGGGAACTCCAAAGTAAACCTGAAAAACTAGTTCAGGCCATGATGGGAAGGAGGTGTCAGACATGTCTCCTTATATCTCCTTCCCTTTGGAATTCAGGTGCAACTTGCCAGCATTAACATTAAAACAGAGATTTTTAAGAGTTGCGAAACAGACTCTTTGTAGCAATAAGATACCAGATTCCAACTTGACTAGTATAGCATCATGTGACAGATAGCAGACCCTACAAGAAATAAAAATATTGTACCCCAAAATATATTTGACATATTTTGAAATGGCCTTATTAGGCTGTCTCTTGCGGAAAATCTACATTCTGTAGAGAATTTCCCTCCCTTTCCAGATCTTGTCCTGATGCAGGAGAGAGTAACTGAGAGTCTAGCACCTTTTGGGGTCTGATAAGAGACATTTGCCATCTATTCTCTCTGAAGCCTGCTACCTGAAGGCTTCACTTACATAATAAGAAACTTGATCTCCATTGTCAGGCCTCTGAGCCCAAGCTAAGCCATCATATCCCCTGTGACCTGCACGTACACATCCAGATCGACAGTTCCTGCCTTAACTGATAACATTCCACCACAAAAGAAGTGAAAATGGCCTGTTCCTGCCTTAACTGATGACATTGTCTTGTGAAATTCCTTCTCCTGGCTCATCCTGGCTCAAAAGCTCCCCCACTGAGTACCTTGTGACCCCCACTCCTGCCTGCCAGAGAACAACCCCCCCTTTTGCTTTACCTACCCAAATCCTATAAAACAGCTCCACCCCTATCTCCCTTCACTGACTCTCTTTTTGGACTCAGCCCACCTGCACCCAGGTGAAATAAACAGCTTTATTGCTCACACAAAGCCTGTTGGTGGTCTCTTCACACGGACGCACATGAAATTTGGTGCCGCGACTCAGATCAGGGGACCTCCCTTGGGAGATCAATCCCCTGTCCTCCTGTTCTTTGCTCCGTGAGAAAGATCCACTTACGACCTCAGGTCCTCAGACCGACCAGCCCAAGGAACATCTCACCAATTTTAAATCGGGTAAGCAGACTCTTCTTACTCTCTTCTCCAACCTCTCTCACTGTCCCTCAACCACTTTCTCCTTTCCACTCTTCAATCTCTTCCTTCTCTTAATTTCAATTCCTTTCATTTTCTGGTAGAGACAAAGGAGACACGTTTTATCCGTGGACCCAAAACTCTGGCGCCAGTCATGGACTAGGGAAGGCAGCCTTCCCTTGGTGTTTAATCATTGGAGGGACACCTCTCTGATTATTCGTCCAGGTTTCAGAGGTGTCAGACCACGCAGGGACGCCTGCCTTGGTCCTTCATCCTTAGTGGCAAGTCCCGCTTTTCTGGGGAAGGGGCAAGTACCCCAACCCCTTCTCTCTGTGTCTCTACCTCTTTTCCACCTTTCTGGGGGGCAAGAAACCCCCAACCCCTTTTCCTTCACCCTGAGCAGCAAGTCCCGCTTTTCTAGAGGAGGGGCAAGTACCCCAACCTCATATCTCTGTGCCCCCATCCCTTATTTCCGTGCCCCAACCTCTTATATCGCTGTACCCCAATCCATTATTTCTGTGCCCTAACCTCTTATATCTCTGCACCCCAATCCCTTATTTCCATGCCCTGACCTTGTATCTCTGTGCCCCGACCCCTTTCCCGCTTTTCTGGAGGGTAAGAACCCCCAAACCCCTTCCCTCCATGTCTCTACTCTCTCTTTTCTCTGGGTTTGTCTCCTTCACTATGGGCAACCTTCCACCCTCCATTCCTCCTTCTTCTCCCTTAGTCTGTGTTCTTAAGAACTTAAAACCTCTTCAACTCTCATCTAACCTAAAATCTAAGTGTCTTATTTTCTTCTGCAATGCCGCTTGACCCCAATACAAACTCGACAGTAGTTCCAAATAGCCAGAAAACGGCACTTTCAATTTTTCCATCCTTCAAGATCTAAATAATTCTTGTTGTAAAATGGGCAAATGGTCTGAGGTGCCTGACATCCAGGCATTCTTTTACACATCAGTCCCTCTATAGTCTCTGTTCCCAATGCAACTCATCCCAAATCTTCCTCCTTTCCCTCCCACCTGTCCCCTCAGTCCCAACCCCAAGCATCACTGAGTCTTTCTACTCTTCCTTTTCTACAGACACATCTGACCTCTCCCCTCCTCGCCAGGCCGAGCTAGGTCCCAATTCTTCCTCAGCCTCCGGTCCTCCACCCTATAATCCTTTTATCATCTCCCCTCCTCACACCCGGTCCGGCTTACAGTTTCATTCCGTGACTAGCCCTCACCTGCCCAGCAATTTACTCTTAAAAAGGTGGCTGAAGCTAAAGGCATAGTCAAGGTTAATGCTCCTTTTTCTTTATCAGACCTCTCCCAAATCAGTGAGCATTTAGACTCTTTCATCAAATATGAAAAACCCAGCCCAGTTCATGACTCGTTTGGCAGCAACCCTGAGACACTTTACAGCCCTAGACCCTAAAAGGTCAAAAGGCCGTCTTATTCTCAAAATACATTTTATTACCCAATCTGCTCCCGACATTAAATAAAACTCCAAAAATTAAATTCTGGCCCTCAAACCCCACAACAGGATTTAATCAACCTCGCCTTCAAGGTGTACAATAATAGAAAAAAGTTGCAATTCCTTGCCTCCACTGTGAGACAAACCCCAGCCACATCTCCAGCACACAAGAACTTCCAAATGCCTGAACCACAGCGGGCAGGCGTTCCTCCAGAACCTCCTCCCCCAGGAGCTTGCTACAAGTGCCAGAAATCTGGCCACCAGGCCAAGGAATGCCTGCAGCCCAGGATTCCTCCTAAGCCACGTCCCATCTGTACGGAACCCCACTGGAAATCGGACTGTCCAACTCACCCGGCAGCCACTCCCAGAGCCCCTGGAACTCTGGCCCAAGGCTCTCAGACTCCTTCCCAGATCTTCTTGGCTTAGCGGCTGAAGACTGACGCTGCCCAATCGCCTCGGAAGCCCCCTAGACCATCATGGATGCCGAGCTTCGGGTAACTCTAACAGTGAAGGATAAGTCTGTCCCCATCTTAATCAATACCAAGGCTACTCACTCCACATTACCTTCTTTTCAAGGGCCTGTTTCCCTTGCCTCCATAACTGTTGTGGGTATTGATGGCCAGGCTTCTAAACCTCTTAAAAGTCCCCAACTCTGGTGCCAAATTAGACAATACTCTTTTAAGCACTCCTTTTAATTATCCCCACCTGCCCAGTTCCCTATTAGGCCGAGACACTTTAACTAAATTATCTGCTTCCCTGACTATTCCTGGATTACAGCTACATCTCATTGCTGCCCTTCTTCCCAATCCAAAGCCTCCTTTGCGTGCTCCTCTTGTATTCCCCCACCTTAACCCACAAGTATAAGATACCTCTACTCCCTCCTTGGCAACCGATCATGCACCCCTTACCATCTCATTAAAACCTAATCACCCTTACTCCAATCAATGCCAATATCCCATCCCACAGCATGCTTTGAAAGGATTAAAGCCTGTTATCACTTGCCTGCTACAGCATGGCCATTTAAAGCCTATAAACTCTCCTTACAATTCCCCCATTTTACCTGTCCTAAAACCAGACAAGCCTTACAAGTTAGTTCAGGATCTGCGCCTTATCAACCAAATTGTTTTGCCTATCCACCCCGTGGTTCCAAATCCATATACTCTCCTATCCTCAATACCTCCCTCCACAATCCATTATTCTGTTCTGGATCTCAAACATGCTTTCTTTACTATTCCTTTCCACCCTTCATCCCAGCCTCTCTTGGCTTTCACTTGGACTGACCCTGACACCCACTAGGCTCAGCAAATTACCTAGGCTGTACTGCCGCAAGGCTTCACAGACAGCCCCCATTACTTCAGTCAAGCCCAAATTTCATCCTCATCTGTTACCTATCTCGGCATAATCTCATAAAAACACACGTGCGTTCCCTGCTGATCGTGTCCGATTAATCTCCCAAACCTCAATCCCTTACAAAACAACAACTCCTTTCCTTCCTAGGCATGGTTAGTGCGGTCAGAATTCTTACACAAGAGCCAGGACCGCACCCTGTAGCCTTTCTGTCCAAACAACTTGACCTTACTGTTTTAGCCTAGGCATCATGTCTCCGTGCAGCGGCTGCTGCCACCCTAATACTTTTAGAGGCCGTCAAAATCACAAACTATGCTCAACTTACTCTCTACATTTCTCATAACTTCCAAAATCTATTTTCTTCCTCATATCTGACGCATATACTTTCTGCTCCCCGGCTCCTTCAGCTGTACTCACTCTTTGTTAAGTCCCACAATTACCATTGTTCCTGGCCCGGACTTCAATCCAGCCTCCCACATTATTCCTGATACCACACCCGACCTCCATGACTGTATCTGTCTGATCCTCCTGACATTCACCCCATTTCCCCATATTTCCTTCTTTCCTGTTCCTCACCCTGATCACGCTTGATTTATTGATGGCAGTTCCACTAGGCCTAATCGCCACACACCAGCAAAGGCAGGCTATGCTATAGTACAAGCCACTATCCCGCCTCTTTGAACCTCTCATTTCCTTTCCATCGTGGAAATCTATCCTCAAGGAAATAACTTCTCAGTGTTCCATCTACTATTCTACCACTCCTCAGGGATTATTCAGGCCCCCTCCCTTCCCTACACATCAAGCTTGAGGATTTGGCCCCACCCAGGACTGGCAAATTAGCTTTACTCAACATGCCCGGAGTCAGATAACTAAAATACCTGTTAGTCTAGGTAGACACTTTCACTGGATAGGTAGAGTCCTTTCCTACAGGGTCTGAGAAGGCCACCACAGTCATTTTTTCCCTTCTGTCAGACATAATTCCTCAGTTTAGCCTTCCTACCTCAATACAGTCTGATAACAGACAAGCTTTTATTAGTCAAATCAGCCAAGCAGTTTTTCAGGCTCCTAGTATTCAGTGAAACCTTTATATCCCTTACGGTCCTCCATCTTCAGGAAAAGTAGAACAGACTAAAGGTCTTTTAAAAACACACCTCACCAAGCTCAGCCACCAACTTAAAAAGGACTGGATAATACTTTTATGACTTTCCCTTCTCAGAAGTCAGACCTGTCCTCAGAATACTACAAGGTACAGCCCATTTGAGCTCCTGTATAGACGTTCCTTTTTATTAGGCCCCAGTCTCATTCCAGACACCAGAACTTAGACTGTGCCCCCCAAAAACTTGTCATCCCTACTATCTTCTGTCTAGTCATACTCCTATTCACCGTTCTCAACTACTCATACATGCCCTGCTATTGTTTACACTGCCGGTTTACAGTTTCTCCAAGCCATCACAGCTGATATCTCCTGGTGCCATCCCCAAACTGCCACTCTTAACTCTTGAAGTAAATAAATAATCTTTGCTGGCAGGACTATGCTGATCTCCTTAGGCACTCTCTAAGCAGATGTCCTGAGTCATCCCAATTCTTAGACCTTTTATACCTGTTTTTCTCCTTCTCTTATTCCGTTTAGTTTTTCAATTCATACAAAACTGTTATCCAGGCCATCACCAATACTTCTAAATTACAACTATTCCTTCTAACAACCCCACAATATCACCCCTTACCACAAAATCTTCCTTCAGCTTAATCTCTCCCACTCTAGGTTCCCACGCCCCCCCAATCCCACTCAAAGCAGCCCTGAGAAACATCGCCCATTATCTCTCCATACCATCCCCCAAAATTTTTGCTGTCCCAAGACTTTACCACTATTTCATTTTATTTTTCTTATTAATATAAGAAGACAGGAATGTCAGGCCTCTGAGCCCAAGCTAAGCCATCATATCCCGTGACCTGCACGTACACATCCAGATCGCGGGTTCCTGCCTTAACTGATAACATTCCACCATAAAAGAAGTGAAAATGGCCTGTTCCTGCCTTAACTGATGACATTGTTTTGTGAAATTCCTTCTCCTGGCTCATCCTGGCTCAAAAGCGCCCCCACTGAGTACCTGTGCCCCCCACTCCTGCCTGCCAGAGAACAACCCCCCTTTTTCCTTTACCTACCCAAATCCTATAAAACGGCCCCACCCCTATCTCCCTTCACTGACTCTCTTTTTGGACTCAGCCCACCTGCACCCAGGTGAAATAAACAGCTTTATTGCTCACACAAAGCCTGTTTGGTGGTCTCTTCACACGGACGCGCATGAAATCCATAACTCCTTATCTTAACCCAGACACACCTGTCTATTGATTCTGGGTTGTTAGATAATAAACTAACTCTTACTTAACTTTTTCAACCAGCCGTCAATCAGAAAATCTTTGAATCTGCCTATGATCTGCCCCTCAGTTCGAGTGGAAATGCCCCCCATTTCGAGTTGTCTCACTCTTCTGAACTGAACCAATGTATAGGGTACATGTATTGATTATTGGTTTTGCCTGTAACTTTTGTCCCCCTAAAATGTGTAAAATCAAGCTGTAACCCATTCACCTTTGGCATATGTTCTTGGGACCTCTTGAGATGTGCCTTGGGCCTTGGTCACTTATATTTGGCTCAGAATAAATCCATTCATTTATTTTACAGAGTTTGATTCTTTTTGATTGGCTATCTACCCATTTAATCTCTTCAATCTGGTTTTGGAAACCTCTCCCAGATGTTGCCACTTGGAAATTTAAAAGGTTTAATAACATCTGAAATTGTCTCCTTACAAAAAGTTTTCTCTGTTTGATGATTGGCATTATTTACTGAATATATGCTTTCTTTCTGTCATTTTTTTCTAAAACATTAGTCTTTCCTCCACTGTTGTAGCCTTCTTTGGACCAGCAAAACTTTGCAGTTCTTATGAGATTCTCTTGAACAGACATGTTTTTACTTCTACCACTAGCATACCTCTCATCTCAACGTTTTCTCATATCATGAAAATGTTTTCTTTGCTACTTATTTATTTCTTGGATTAGAGGTCACTATATACCGCATAACCTTCTATATGCAGAAATATTGAGGTTATTTAACATGACACTTTTTAAAGCTGATTTCCTGTAGCAACACTTCTAATATTTCTCATATTTAATAACTATTGGGGCCTTAACTGTGCAAAATGTGCTATGCTAAGTGCTATGAAAGGATAGATGACTTGATCCCTACCTAGGGCCTTGTTGAAGAACAAAGATCTATAAAAAAAGTCAGAATAATTTTGTTCACATCACAGTATTCATCAAAAAATGCTATGGTATTACAAGTAAGAAGAGTAGAGTTCAGGTCAAAAGATTAAGGAAATATTGTCAAGGAGTTGACATCTGAGGTAAATCTTGGAAGAGGAGTTAGATTTAAACAGTGGGAATTTAATAAGATTGTTTTAAAAAAATAAATACAGATTCATCAGGAACTTTTGGCCACTTTAAATTAGTAAAATGCAATGGGCTTCACCTGTAATGTCTCAGGAATTCAATATCTCTGGCTTCAAAAAATGAATTCTAGCCAAGTGTGGCAGCTCTTCCTTGTAGTCTCAGATGCCTGGGAGGCTGTTGGGAAAGGATCACTTGAGGCTGGGGTTTGAGACCAGCCTAGGCAATACAGCGAGACCCTGTCTCTAGAAATAATAAAAAATTAAATTAAGAAATGAATTCTAGTTTTCAACCTAAAATAATTAAAAGTATCATAATCTAATAATTTAAAGAGAGTTTCTTCAAGTGCAAACTGTGAGGATGGACCACTTGGAAACACCAACTACAAAGGAATGAAGTCAGTGTTCCAAAGTAGAGAGGTTGAGGCTTTATTTACATAGAGAAGAACTCTAAGCAGTTTTCCAACATTATTTATACAAGGTTGTTGCATAGTTACAGCTATTTGATTGGTGATAGGCAGGGTCTCTTTTTGACAGGGTACATTTAATATATATTTTATAAAGGGTATAATAATCATGGTTTTCTGTCATCTGTTCTAAGCAAACCAGGACAACAAAGAGGAAGTTAATCTATAACAATGTCATTAGAAGGCAAGAGGTTTTCCCTGATGTCATTTAATTCTGTCTAGCCATTGCAGAGAACAAGAAAAATATGCAGGTGAGTTAATCTATAATCTGAGAAGTTGTAACTCTAGGTAACTCAGATCACAGTCCCATCTTTCTCAAGGCTTAAAGTGTTTTTTGGGGGTTCTAAATTTTAAATTTTAGCTTTTAAATTTTACTAGCCTTTAAATTCCAGCTTTTAAATTTTACTGATTTTACATAGTTATGCTCTCATCATTGCTTTTCACCTTTAAATTCAATTTACTGTTTGTAGAAAAAATAGTGTTCTGAATGGTGAGGACCTGCTAAATTGAAAATGTAAAGTCAAAGACCAATAACGAGCTCTGAAATGGACTGAAATGGTCAGTAACAAGTACCCTACTGACCAAAAAAAGCCTGGGACCAGATAGATTCACAGCTGAATTCTATTATTAATTGATATACAAAGAAGAGCTGGTACCATTCCTTCTAAAATTGTGTATTAGTTCCTTTTCATACTGCTATAAAGAACTGCCTGAGACTGTGTAATTTATAAAGGAAAGAGGTTTAATTGACTCACAGTTCAGCATAGCTGGGGAGGCCTCAGGAAAGTTACAATCATGGTGGAAGGTGAAAGGAAAGTAAGGCACCTTCTTTTCAGGGTAGCAAGAAGGAGAAGTGCTGAGTGAGGGAGGGGGCAGAGCCCCTTATAAAACTATCAGGTCTTGTGAGAACTCACTCGTCACAAGAACAGCCTGGGGGAAACTGCCCCCGTGATTCAATTAATTCCACCTGGTCTCTCTCTTGACATGTGGGGATTATAGGGATTACAATTTAAGATGAGATTTGGGTAGGGACATTGAGCCTAACCACATCAGAGGCACTCCTCTCCAACTCATTATATGAGGCCAGCATCATCCTCATACCAAAACTTGGCAGAGGCACAACAACAAAAAAAGAAAATGGCATGCCAATGTTATTGATAAACATTGATGCAAAAATCCTCAACAAAATCTTGCAAACCAAATCCGTCAGCACATCAAAAAGCTAATCGATCACTATCAAGTAGTCTTCATCCCTGTGATGCCAGGTTGGTTCAACATATGCAAATCAATAAATTTGATTCATCAAATAAATGGAACCAAAGATAAAAACCACATGATTATCTCAATAGATGAAGAAAAAGGTTCTGATAAAATTCAACATTCCTTTATGTTAAAAATTCTCAATAAACTAGGTATTGAAGGAACATACCTCAAAATAATAAGAGCCATCTGTGATAAACCCACAGCCAACGTCATACTGATGGGGCAAAATCTGGAAGCATTTCCCTTGAAAACCAGCACAAGAAAATGATGCTCTCTCCTACCACTCTTCTTCAACATAGTATTGGTAATCCTGTCCAGGCAAGAGAAAGAAATAAAGGGCATCCAAATAGGAAGATAGAAAGTCAAACTATTTCTATTTGCAGATGACATGATTCTATATTTAAAAATATCAATAGTCTTGGCCTGAAAGCTCCTTAAGCTGATAAACAACTTCAGCAAAATGTCAGAATACAAAGTAATGTACAAAAATCAGTAGCATTCCTATACACCAACAACAGCCAAGCTGACAGCCAAATCAGGAAGGCAATTACATTCACAATTGCCACACACACGAAAAAACCACCTAGGAGTACATGTAACCAGGGAGGTAAAAGATCTCTACAATGAGAATTACAGAACACTGCTCAAAGGAAACAGAGAAGGCAAAACAAACAGAAAAACATCCCATGCTCACGGATAAAAATAATATCATTAAAATGGCCATACTGCCCAAGGCAATTTATAGATTCAGTGCTGTTTCTATCAAACTACCAGTGACATTCTTCACAGAACTAGAAGAATATTTTAAAATATGTATAAAACCAAAATAAGGGCCCAAATAGCCAAGACAATCCTAAGCAAAAAGGAAAAAGATGGAGGCATTACATTACTCAACTTCAAACCATACTACAGGGCTACAGTGAGCGAAATAGCATGGTACTCATACAAAAACAGTCACATAGACCAATGGAACAGAATATAGGGCACAAAAATAAGGCCCCATACCTACGACCCTCTGATCTTCGACAAAGCTGACAAAAACAAGCAATGGGGAAGTTATATGTAAACTCATGTCACATGACTCCCTACTCAATAAATGATGCTGGGATAACTGGCTAGCCATATGCAGAAGATTGAAACTGGACAACTTCCTTACACCTTATACAAAAATCAACTCAAGATGGATTAAAGACTTAAATGTAAAACCCAAAACTACAAAAAATCTGGAAAACAACCTAGGCAATATCATCCTGGACATAGGAATGGGCAAAGATTTCATGACAAAGATACCAAAAGCAATAGCAACAAAGGTAAAAATTGACAAACAAGATCTAATTAAACTTTAGAGCTTCTGCACGGCAAAGGAAACTATCACCAGAATGAACAGACAACATACAGAATGGAAGAAAATTTTTGCAAACTATGTATCTGACAAAGGTCCAATATCCAGCATCTATAAATAACTTAAATTTACAAGAGGACAACAAACAACTCCATTAAGAAGTGGGCAAAGGACATGAAAAGACACTTTTCAAAAGGAGATATACATGCAGCCAACAAGCACATGAAGAAAGCTCAATATCACTGATCTTTAGAGAAATGCAAATGAAAACTACAATGAGATACTATCTCACACCAGTCAGAATGGCTATCATTAAAAAGTCAAAAAATAACAGATGTGAGGCCGCAAAGAAAAGGGAACACTTATACACTGTTGGTGGAAGTATAAATTTGTTCAACTATTGTGGAAAGCAGTATGGTGATTCCTCAAAGAACTAAAAACAGAACTCATTCAACCCAGCAATCCCATACTGGGTCTATGCTTAGAGAAATAGAAATTATTCTACCTTAAAGACACATGCATGCAAATGTTTTGCAGCATTATCAAATAGCAAAGACATGAAATCAACCTAAATGCCCACCAATGACGGATTAAATAAAGAAAATGTGGTACATATACACCATGGAATACTATGCAGCCATAAAAAGAACAAGATCATGTCTTTTGTGGGAACATGGATGGAGCTGCAGGCTATTATCTTTAGGAAACTAATGCAGGAACAGAAAATGAAATATCGCATGTTCTCACTTATAAGTGGGAACTAAATGATGACAACTCATGAATGCAAAGAAGGGAACAACAGACACTGGGGCCTACTTGAGGGTGGAGGGTGGCAGGAGGGACAGGAGCAGAAAAAAAATAATTGTTGGGTAACGAAGCTTAGTACTGGGGTGATGAAATAACCTGTACAACAAACCCCCGTGAAATGAAATCTGCCTTGACCTTGCAATTTCCAAGCCACTAGAACTGTAAGAAATAAATGTTTCTTGTTGATAGCTACCTAGTTTATAGTATTTTGTCAAAGCAGCCTGAGCAAATGAAGGCACTTGCTGTGATTTGATAGCCTACTTCTCAACAGTGCTAATGTTCCTTCTTATTTTAACTCCTGTAAATTCACTTTCCCCCTACCTTATGAAGTTGGCATTTTCTTTTTTTTTTATTTTATTTTAAGTTTGGCAGTACATGTGCAGGTGAGTTATATGTAAACTGATGTCACATGTCTCCTGACACTTTTCATGAAAGCCCTAAATTGCCACCCACTCCATCCACTGTTCCATTAAGTGAATTTCACTCAATCCACTGTTCCATTAAGTGAATTTCTTTTTCTAGTGGTGGGACTAGAAATGGAACCAGCCCTTGTTTCCCAGACCTCCCTTTCCTGGCAGTAGACCTTCATTGCTATGGTCTGAATGTTTGTGTCTCTCCAAAATACACATTGAAATCCTCATTCCTAAGGTGATGGCATTAGGAGTTGGGGCCACTGGGGAGTGATTAGGGCAGGAAGGTGGAGCCCATGAATGGAATTAGTGACCTTATAAAAGCGGCCTGGGAGAGACTCCTCATCCGTTCCACTCAATGGAAGAGTGAATGGAGTGGGTAGGTAGGAAGGAGTGCCAGATAATGTTAAAATAAATAGATAAATAAAATAAAAATAAAAATAAATTAAAAAAGAAAAACCATACATATGTCAACCTCAGCAGACAGACTAAGTGGCAAAAACACCCTCTGAAATTGCATTATGATAATCATATCCCAAAAACCTGGGAGAAAAGGTGGCAATTTAGGGCATTCATTAAAAGTGTCCAGAGACTAGTTTACATTTTGTAAACACTAGAATTGGTAAAAAACATTTTAAGTTAAATAATGAATTTATTATGTTTGAGCTTTATCTGCCCAAATGTCTTTCCACTTGAATTTCTATGAAGTTCTTATTTACATGCATGTATTTTGGAACACAAACAATATAGCAAGAGTCACTTTTTCATGTGATTGGGAATTATGTTCTTAAAGTAATTTGGGAATAACACATATAATGCCATCAGTAGTATATACTTCCTTTCTCTCATTTGCTCTACACATCTTGAAAGAGAGATACAGTGTAAGAGTACTACACAAACCACATCACAGGGTGAAATGCAAAATCATAATTAATGCTTTTATGTAATGAGAATGCAATGTTTCATTTATACCATTCTAGAATGTAGGTGTCTTCCTTGAGCATCCTGAAAGAGATTGTATTGTCAGCGTCCCACAGGAAAAATAAAGAATAATAATATGGAAGTGCACTTGGCAGTTTCTTCATCTGATCGATAAGGCATCATGAGGTTAAGTGACTTCTATCAGGAGGCTTATGGCTTATTCTTCTGCATATAACCTGACTCTAGAGCCAGTCTTTAGATCCATTATATAAGCAATCCCTCCTTTTACTCTATAGGAAAGAGTCGCATGGCCATTAAGTGAGATCCCTACTTCTTTTGAGGCTGATTCTGTCTGACAATCAAAATTTTGTATGAAATCAAAATGAATAGAATTAAAAAGCAGGCCTGGAAAGTGCTTTACATATCCTAGCTGCTCTGCTCCAATTCTGAGATACCAACTTTCAAGAGGCATAGCCCATGTCAAATTGCTCGGTAATATTTACCTCTCATTTTTTCTGCCATATCAATAACTAGCTCTTGTCATCTTTAAAGTGCTTCTCAAACATTAAATAATCTCAGATCACATACTCTGTTCTTTGCATTTATCTTGACCAGCTGTCAGAGAAGGCAATTTATTCCCTCTCAATTTTATTCCTCTTGGCTCTGTGTGGCTTCTGCAGTAATTTTGAATGGAAATTGAAAGGTACAACTTAATGTGTTTCATAACAAGGGCAACACATAATTTTCTTTAAGAAGGATGACCTTCAGATTACTTTCAAATTGCTTATAGCTTTGGGGTTGTATACTCAGAACATATTTTCAGTATCTTTGAGTCATGATTAATTCTTAAGTGGAAATTTTGAGGGTGTGAAGATTAAAAAAAGGACAATGAAAAACATAACAGTATTAATTTATCATTTTCATCTATTTAAAAATTGTACCATAATTGGATTGGAAGGATCATTAAGTGAATACAAATTTAGAATTCATATTATGTCAGTTGTTTAGAAAACGTAAAATTCATTTTTAACTCAGAGCTTGCATTTCTGAATATTTATACTTTCTCAATTTTTTGATCAAAGAAAGGAAAATGTGTGTATATATATATATATATATATATATATATATATATATGTATATATAAATTCATGTTCTGTTTTAAATGTTTAGCCTTTTTACAATGTGACCAGGATTCAACTCATTCATATCAAATCTCAGTAAAATTACTCCTTGAGTTTCGGTATACAAAGCAGGTATGTGTAATACTGTTTACAGAAATAGTCTCTAATATACAACTCAATACAGTGAATCTGAAGTGCAAAAGCAAATTCTTGTGTTCTCTGCTTAGTGGTAGTAGGAAGGCTTCCAGTGGTTAAAAAACTGCAGATTACAACATATCAACTTTCAGGTGGGCCAGTCCTAAACACTCATAATTGGTTTACTTTGCTGCAAATCATTATTCCAAAGGTTTGATTCACTTGTAGCCCCACTTGGGTCTTAAATTGCATTTCAAAGCACTCCTATCATTCATCCATTTTCAGAACTACCATTAGGAGTGATGTGAATTTGGCACAATAATCAATGAGAAGATATTATATGAGTCCTTTTAAAATTTTCCTTCTTGAGCACCACCTCAAGTGCAGTTTGTGAAATCTGGGTTTTAGAAGTATTTTTTTTATCTTGCTATCATTTTCACTAAGTTAAGTTCAAGAACTTCGGATATGTATTCCACAGTTTTTTTTCCGAAAAGAGATTTGTTGTCACTATTGTTAATTTCTACCTAAAGCCATTTAAACATCTTAATTAAATTATTTTGCTCCGATGTTCCTTATCAGCTTTTGAATTTTTTGAAAATATGGGGCTAAATTTATCACTGTTATCTAAAAAATAACTAAAAAACTAATTTTGTTTGGTTACCACCTGTTAGTATGTGCTCTTGAATGCATTTGATTTTCTTTCCTGATTAGTCATAGAATTTCATGTTATTTATCTCATTTTTGTAAAGAGAAGGATAGTATTATTTTATGACTAAAGAAACCAGAAGAGTAAGACTTTATTAACTAAAGTATTTAATTTTGCTGGCAGTGTTATTTCTTTCTCCAATACTTAAAAATTATCTTATAAACTGCACTTATACTACAAGCATCCTGTGTACATAGCTGTTTGAAGGGTTCAAATATTATTTTTCTAATTTAAGGAATTCAGTTATAGTGATAATGTTTGTACCATGATGAAATAACTCTATTTGCCATAGATCATCTTTTCTAATTTTGCTAATGGGATAAAACAGCCTCTACTTGTACGGATAAATTATACTGTATGTTCCTCTTTGCCTGTATTACAAGCAGTCAATTAATTGATTGGAAAGGATACCAAGGAAGTCAGAGAATCCTTTTTTGAGTCCCTGAAAATATCTTAGCCTAATGTATGTGCTTATTAAATGGAAACAAATGCCTGCATTTATTGAAGAGTTGGTGCTTCCACCTTTGTTTCCGAGGTTAATCCTGCCTTTCTAGCCTTTTCTTAGAGTGATATTTGTAGTTGTAGTGAGAGTCATAGTTGTGCTGGTAGCAATGAAGGTGATGTAATAAATGAAAATAGTGGTGATGATAATAATGATTATGATATAGCTCAGTAGTTGTTGTATTGTCATTTATTAAATGACTACCATGTACCAGGAAATGTGTCAAACAATTTGCATGAGTTATTTCTCCACCATCACACACCTGCAAATTGAGTCTTACCAATCTCATTCATCAGATCTAGATGCTTCTCACTCAGAGATGTAGTGTAATAGCGACCTTCTAGCCATTTGGGTAATGCAGAGAGAAGCCAGGAGTTAATTCCAATCTCTTATCTATGAAGCCCAAAGCATAACTTTTTTGCTTGACTGTTTCCATGGAAAAGCTAGACATACCTGAAAGGAAGAGTTGTGATGGTAGAGCAAGAGACTGATGGAAAGAAGCACTTTAATTCCACCCTGTCTTCAAAGAGCACAAAGGCTAAAATCTTTCAATTATTATTGGACACATTCTAAAAGAAACTACAGCTACTCTTTCCAGTTGGGTAAAACTGACTTTGTGAAAAATGTTAAAGAAATTTGAGAATTTAGATTTTCTTATGTATCCATCACATAGAGATGTTGCAATTTTGAGATAAATAGTAAAATTGAAACAATGTAATCATGTATTTTATATTGAATCAAAGTTTTCTTTCTTGGCATGTAATTCTTAAATTATTATAGACAATATGGTCTGTATTTTAATACACAAAAATGTTTTTTAACTTTGCTTTTGGCAAAAATATTTGGATTGGTAGAGTTTTATTTTCCCTTAAGTATTCAATTACTTACTTCACATCTGTATAATTTGGGATTTAAAGTGCTATGAACATGATTTTAATTTTCTAGTAGGTCTGCAATTGTTCTTAAATGTAACATGAAATAGTTGTTCCAGATGATCTCTCAGTTACTTCTAGATTTAACTTTCTACGAGTCAAGTGTAGCCCAGATAATGAGACATGTTTTCTCTCCATCCAGGAGGCTTTCTAGCCATACAGTAGTATCAATTTTATAGAAGAAGAATGAGTTACACCATTGTTAGATGTACGTTCTGTATATTAAAATAGCATTAAAAGAAAAGGTAAAGAGTCACCAAAAAAAGGCAACATAAAGGTTAAAGTGTTATTATCTTACATATGTGTGTATGTATGCAATTTTAGAAACCACCAAAAGGAGGTTTACAGAAAAATGGAGGAAAAATCCACAAGAAAAGAAATACCAAGGAAAAACGAACATACAAACAGCTCATTTCTAGTAATCAAATATTGCAAATAAAATTCAAATCTTCTCTTATTGCAAAAATTTTAAACATCACTGATAGTATTGTCAAGGATAAGGTAACAAAACTACTGGCATGCACAATTTTTAAAAGATACTAACTTTCAAATACGTGCATGTATTCTCAAAGCTATAAAAGTGATTATGTTATTTGTCCCAGGAATTCTATATTTAGGACTTTCTCCTAAAGAAATAAATAATAATATGTGCTGAGAAAATTTCTGCCCTATCCCAAGGTAGAAAAGTTTTTGATTAAATTACGCACAGCCATAAAATTACATGTCATGAAGCCACTTAAATGGTATTTTGAGAAATACAGAATGGCAATAAAACACACTTCTGATATATTGCCTAGTAAAAAAAAGTAAAAGACAATGTGCTAATGACTTGTCAAAACCAGATAAACCATATTTATATATTTATATGTATGTACAGAAATATACGTGCAAAATATTAACAGTGGTTATTTCTGGGTGGTGAGATTAAAACTATCTGCTTATCTATTTATTTTATTTTTATATTTTTTGAATTTTCTCTCATGAACATGTGGACTCTTAAAATCAGGAATAAAAGAGGTACTGGATATAGTAAGACTTTCTAACATCATTATCTTAGATCTTCTGTGCCCCTACAAACAAACAAACAAACAAACAAACAAACAAAACATGAATGACCTCATTAGATGACCTCACTAGATGGGTCAATTATACAATTAAGTTAAAATATTCAGAAGAAGTTTTATCCATTTGAACCATTTTATCACTTGTGTTGATTCTCCCTCAGAGGACTTAGGAGATGAGAAACACTGATTATATGAGCGCACGAGTTTTAGGGAGAATAGTAAATGCTGAGGAAAAGATAATGTGCTAGTGGGCAGGGAGGCTTTGTCCTGCCACTAAGGAGTTGTGCTGCTCTAGAAAGCAGTATAAACAGGTTCAGCACTCATATAGTCAGTGTTTCTCATCATCAATATTTACCATGAATCTCTAAATTATATTTTCCTTTCTGAATGTTTGATTAGGAAATGCATCTACAACCACAACTGTGATAGACAGCAAAAATGGATCTGTGCCCAAATCCCCCGGAAAAGTGCTGAAGAGGACAGTCACAGAAGACATAGTGACGACGTTCAGCTCCCCTGCAGCCTGGCTTCTGGTCATTGCCCTGATAATCACGTGGTCAGCTGTTGCCATCGTTATGTTTGATTTAGTGGATTACAAAAACTTTTCAGGTAAGTTCCATAAAATTTGGCTTTAAAATTAAAATTAATTCAAATGGAAAGAAACAGTGTCCCCTCCAGTTCCTGCTTGGTTTCTGTTTCATCTTAGTGTGAGGAAGAAACACCCCACAAATGTGCTTGAGGATCACTGAAATCTGTTTCATTCTTCCCTTTTTCCTCCTATTCTCTTTCTTTGTCGGTGGTACTTATTGATTTCCAATGAAATTGATATCCTTATTTGCAAGAGCTGAACAAAGCCTGAATGTTGCAGTTCATAAAGATAATAGTTAAAAAGCTTGGGTGAAGATTTCGTTTGGAACTGGTACTTTATCAAGCATTAATAAGGAATAATTTGTAGGTTTTACACTTGGCAATATAAAACCAAACCAATCAAAACACTTTTGGACAAATGGAAAATATTTTAAAGTATTTTTAAGCCCTGCTGTCATCTGGTCCTAAGTGTCCTTGCCAGACAAACTCTTTGCTTCTGCCACCGGCCATCCTATTTTGAGTTCCTGAAAATAAAGAGAGTTTTTCACAAAATTACATATAATTGTTCATTTTTTGTTCAATGATATTTTACATATTTTAAACTGTATTTATTTATTTTGACATATGACACCCTCTATTGACTGTGAGCTCCCTAAGGAAAGGAATCAGCCAAGTGCTGAGTAAATGTTACATGACTAGATGAGTGAATTTATTCTTATCACTTTTTTACCATAAGCGAAACATTTCATTAATCTTTTAATGTGTTCTCTCATATGTACTCTCCCCTCCCCTTTTTTCTTTCTCCAACAGGAGTAGAATCAGTAGGACCCAGACACTATAAATACTAGTAATTGCATTCTACATATTCAGGGTTCTCCTATTTCTCATTATGGAATTTTACTCATTCAGCAATCAAATGTGTATTCTTTGTGTCAGGAGATGGCTATGCCACAGACCTCAAGAAGAAATACAATATAAAATTATGAAAATAGAACTCTGTTGTTTGGGTTTATTGGCATAAAGGTGTGATATAGTTTGGATATGTGTTCCCTCTAATCTCATGATGAATTATAATCCCCAGTGTTGGACATGGGCCTAGCAGGAGGTGACTGGATCACAGGGATGCATTTTTTAGTGAGTGGTTTGGCACTGTCCCCTTGGTGCTGTCCTCACAATAGTGAGTTCTCATGAGATCTGGTTGTTTAAGTGTGTGGCACCTCCCTGCTCCACTCTCTCCCTCTTCTCTGGCCATGTGACATGCCTGCTCCTCTCTCCTCCTTCTACCATTATTGCAAGCTTCCTGAAGCCCTCCCAGAATCCAAGAAGACACCAGCATCATGATTCCTGTACAACCTGTATAACTGTGAGCCTATTAAACCTATTTTGTTTATAAATTACCCAGTCTTAAGTATTTCTTTATAGCAATGCAAGAGCTTTATAGCAATGCAAGAGCTTAATACAGAAAATTGGCACCAGTAGTGGGGTATTGCTATAAGGATACCAGAAAATGTGGAAGCAACTTGGGAACTGGGTAATGGGCAGAAGTTCAAAGAGTTTGGATTGCTCAGAAGAAGATAGGAAGAGGAAGGAAAGATTGAAACTTCTTAGTGACTGGTTAAATGGTTGAGACCAAAATGCTGATACTGATATGAACAGTGAAGTCCAAGCTGATGAGGTCTCAGATGGAAATGAGGAATGTATTGGAGACTGGATCAAAGGTGATGCATGTTATGCCTTAGCAAAGATCTTGGCTGCATTCTTTTCATGCCCTAGGGATCTGTAGAAGTACGGACCTGAGAGTAATGATGTAGTGTATCTGCTGGAAGAAATATCTAAGCAGTAAAACATTCAAGATGTAGCCTGGCTGCCTCTACCAACCTATTCAAAGATGTGGGAACAAAAAAATGACTTAAAGTGGAACTTATCTTTAAAGGGGATGCAGAGTATAAAAATTTGGAAAATTTGCAGCCTAGCCATGTGACAAAGAAAGAAACAGCTTTTTTGAGAGAGGAATTCAAGCAGGCTGTGGAGAAACCACTTGCTAGAGAAATTTGCGTAACTAAAAAGAAGCTACGTGCTGATAGCCAAGAAAATGGGAAAAAGGTCTTGAAGGCATTTCAGAGACCCTTGCAACAGTCTTTCCCATCATAGGCCCAGATGTCTAGGAGTTAAGAAGGGTTTCCTGGGTCAGGCTCAGGGCCCCACTGCCCTGGCCAGCCTCAGAAGAGTGCTGCCTATATTTTGGCTGCTCTGGGTCCAGCTGTGGCTTAAAAGGCCACAGGTGCAGATCAGGCTCCCACTCCAGAGGGCACAAGCCATAAGCCTTGGTGCCTTTCATGTGATGTTAAGCCTGCAGCCATGCAGAGTGCAAGAGTTAAAGAGGCTTGGCAGCCTCCACCTAGATTTCAGAGAATGTATGGGAAATTCTGGGTGCCCAGGCAGAAGCTTGTTGCAGTGGCAGAGCCCAAACAGAGAACCTCTATTAGGGCAGTGCAGAGGGGAAATGTGTGTTTGGAGGACCCACCCACACAGATTCCTCACTGGGGCATTGCCTAGTGGAGCTGTGGGAAGGAGGCCACTGTCCTCCAGACCCCAAAATGATAGATCCACTGGCAGCTTCCACCCTGCACCTAGAAAAGCTGCAGGCACTCAACAATGTGTGAGAGCAGCCTCCAGGGCTGAACCCTGCAAAACCACAACGGTAGAGCTGCCCAATTCCTTGGGACCCCACCCCTCATATCAGTGTTCCCAGGTTATGGGACACAGAGTGAAAGATTATTTTGGAACCTTAAGATTTAATGACTGCCCTGTGGGGTTTTCAACTTACATGGGGCCTTAGCTCCTTTCCTTTGGCTGATTTCTCCCTTTTGGAACAGTAATGTTTACCCAATGCCTATACCCTCATTGTGTCTTGGAAGTAAATAACTTCTTTTGATTTTACAGGCTCATAGGTGGAAGGAATTTATTTCCAGATGAGACTGTGGACTTTGGACTTTGGAGTTAATGCTAGAATGAGTTAAGGCTTTGGGAGACTATTGGTCGGGGATGATTGTATTTTGCAGTGAGAGAAGAAAATGAGATTTGAGGGGCCAGAGATAAAATTATATAGTTTGGATATGTGTCCCATATAATCTCATGTCAAATTGTAATCCCCAGTGTTCGACGTGGGGCCTCTTGGAAGATTATTGTTTAATAGAGATGGATTTTTGAAGAATGGTTTAGCCAATTCCCTTGGTACTTTCCTCACAATAGTGAATGAGATCTTGTGAGATATGATTTTTTAAGTGTGTGGCACCTCCCCCGCCCCCCACTCTCTCTCTTGCTCCTCCTCTAGCCATCCATCCATGTGACCTGCCTGCTACCCCTTCCCTTCAACTTCCACCATGATTGTAAACACCCTGAAGCCTTACCAGAAGCTGAGTAGATGCCAGCACCATGCTTCTGTACAGACTGCAGAAGTGTGAGCCAAATGAACTTCTTTTCTTTATAAATGACCCAGTCTCAGGTATTTCTTTATAGCAATGCCGGAACAACCTAATACAAGGTGTGATTGAGTTGACTCTGCCAGCATACCATTGGTAGCTGGACTACCAATGAGTTAGATTCTCATCTAACAAGTAGAGAAAAGTCCCGTGATATCAAAGAAAGCAAAAGGGCTATTTATCCAGAGTCATAAATGTCTAATGTAAATAGGCAATACATAGTTTATTGTATAATAGAGGCTTTTAAAATATACACAGTTGTAATGTCTATAATGTAAATTATGACCTAGAGTTTTAAGTAAAAGACACTTGGTTACCTTACTCTACAAAATTTCATTTCCCTTGAGCTTGCATTGACTGAAGTATTTCCCTATCAGATGAAATGCCAGTAACATAGGCATTGCCCATAGAAATTAATTGCAGCTCTCCAATGGAAGCTCTACTGTGAACTATAAGTATGCCTTATTTTAAGTAATCTAATCTAAAAATCTAATTATAGGTAGCTGTGCATTTTATAAAATAAGAACAAATTCCTTTCAATGATAATTTCTGTAGTACACTTGTACATTGTTAACTTTACAAATATTTGATTTATATGCAATTCTTGAAATATGTGTATTATAAAAATGAAAGAACTATATAAATTATGGCTTCAATAACAGTTTCAAAATGTAAATTATACTCACATATTTAATGTTAATTTTGATAGACACAATTCAAACTTTTGCTAGGGATTAGTATTATCATGATGAATCTTTTGTACCATGTGATAATCTTTGAAATATATAATTGTTAGTATTTACAAAACAAGGCTAGTGGTAAAAGAAATAAACTGGAAATGATTTGGAAGGCCAGAAAGTCAGGGCAACTGTCAGTTACTCTCTGGAAGTTTAGAAAAGTAGGTAAATGCCGTGAAGCCATGAAAAGGTTGTTCATAGAGAAATGAAAATCTGTTTTTATAAGCTCATACTGTACTGGATTGAGAAGAATAATTCTCTTCTGGGCAACCTTTACAATTCCCCCTATTTTCAGAATTCTGTCTGATTTATGCATATATTTGCTACTAGTTGGGGACATGCAGAATTGGCTTTTATTTGTGGTTCATTTAGATGATTTGGGTTCGTTATTCAGCTCTATGAACCTACAAGCTAACATGACTAGGAACTTATCTTTTCTTGTCTGTGAAATGGGGATAACATCTTGCTTTCTATTCTGCAAAATTTTTGACTTTGATTCTTCTTATCAAATGAGACAAATTTTAAGGCACCAAATAAACAGACTGGAAAAGATATTTCACCTACACCACACTTCTTACTTAATGTAACATCCAAATAATATTCAAACAATACTATGCCTATCTGTCAATGTTTGACACAATAGCTGAAAGCAACTCTGAATTACATAGAATAAGGGTTTATTATATCGTTTATGAATTCATGGTAGCTGATTAATCTATGTAAGGCTGTTGCAATGCATCTGGTGTTGAGTGGAAAGTAGTCAGGGTGGAAATTGGGAAGGGAAGATGGATAGAATGGGAGGGACTTGGGACAAACTGAAACTGACAAGAACAAAGTGGAAGACTTGTTTGTCTCTCACCACCACAAATTACAATTATGCGGATGAGCTGCAGGATAAATTGACGCCTTTCCCCCACGGAACTGCACGCGCACCTGGCCAGGATTTGGAGACGCTGAAGAAGCCAGCCCAGTGTGCGCTGGAGATGTGGCGGCTGTTGCCACACAACAAGGGCAGCTAGACTCTCTGGGATCATGAGCGTGAGCTGCAAAAGCACCTGCCCTACACCAACCTTCAGACAATAAATAATGGCTTCATTATTGCCACATTCGTGCCTTCCAAAACTTGCAAAAATGTCTTGTTTCCAACTGTTACCTGAAAACATACATATAAGGGATTTCTGGGAAGACAGTTCCAGCTTAGTGCTTTGACAGTGTGCAAAGTCTTCATATAGGACAACAATATCATCTAACAGCTGAAACAGGATACTTGTGAGAGTGAAATGGGGAGCAATTAAGATTTACCTCAGGACATCAGACACAAACCAAGGTGTATGATCGCTCTGTTATCCACATTGACTTTAGTTCTCTCCTCAAAGAAGAATGATTTTGGAAACCCTAAGTGGGGGATGGGAGGACAGAGAAACGTTGCTCTCTTAGTAATTGAGGCTAGAGGCTTAGAAAGGCTGCCGGAGATCTTCCCTTCAAGCTTCTGCAGACTCAGCCAGAAAGACCTCCCTCTCAGAAAATGAAGGGGTGCCTTGATTATGTATTCTGATCTTTTGGGGCCAGAATTTGTAGGCTTTGGTTGAAATTTCTTACAAATTTCTTTTGCTTTATTTATGAAGTGACAACTTTCTCGCTAAACAATCAGAAGTGCAAACAAATAGGATTTATAAAGAAATGACTACAAACTAAGGCATTAGTGGATGTTGATGATTTTCTTCTAGGTCAGAATGTACAGCAATAGAATGTGGTAACTCTTTTCCTTCCTAAGAACAAGGATCATCATTCATTAGCATCCTCATCCATTAGAGGAAAACATCATTACATGGTTGTACCAGCGTGTCTCAAAGCACACTTGGTAATTTTTGCAAGCATTCCACAAAATATACTTATTTCAAACCAATTTTGTAAGAATTAAATACAATAATCTATGTAAAACCTACATGCCTGGCACATAGGAGGGACTCATTAAATGTAACTTGAATTTGAATCTTATTACCAGGAAGTAAGATCTGTAATCTGAGAAGAGAGCCAGCAAAGACATAATAGTAGGAAGCATCAATTTCTTATGAAAAGTCTTGCAGACATCTCCTGATGTGCCTTTTAAATAGATTTTCTAATGAGGTGTGCCATTTATCTGCTGCTCTTGGAAATTAATTTTCCTGACTTTTTTTCTTTTCTTGGCGCTTAGCCCAGTTAAGCAGGTGCACGGTTTGTCAGGCTATGAATTTAGCAGAGTAAAATCATTTAGGGAAGGCCCAAAGTCAGTCAGAAAGTACAAATTTAACATTTAATTTTACACTCATATACACACACACACACGAATATGTTATTACTTTTTAGGAAACATGGAAGACTGAAACACTAAATGCAACATTTAGGACTCTATCAACTCTCATGTGTACTGAGTTTTCAAGGAGCACATTTTGTGTGTTTCTTACTCTGATTCAAGTCTTATCTCAAATTCCATATTTTCTGCTCACTACCCCAGGCCTATTTGGTCCTCTTGGTCATTACACCTAAAAAGATGCATTTTACTACCCAACTTCAGTCTGTCTATGAGTACCTGAAGGAAGCAAAGAGTTCTATAATTCAATATTTCCCAGACTCTAATAAAAAGTGTATCAATTCTTCATGAAATGAGGAAAAAGATAAAGAAAAAAAGTATTCATTTTTAAGAAGTGTTCTTAATTCTTAGATTATATTGTTCCTACATTTTTAGTCTTAAAATTCTCTTTTGAAATTGTGGTAAAACCGGATATTGTTTTTATTGTTGTTTTAATAAAGGCAAGAGCCTGAGGTGGGAGAATCACTTGAGCCCAGCAGGCGGATGTTGTACTGAGTTGAGCTTGCGCCACTGCACTCCAGCCTGGGTGACAGAGTGAGACCCTATCTTAAAAACAAAAACAAAAACAAAAACAAACAAAAAAGTAAAGCTTCCAAAACTAAACCTCAACTTCATTAAACAAATATGTATTAAATAATTAGTCAGAATATGTTAATTGCTGTATTATCTCTTCTCCACTAATCTGTTAAATTTATAATATGGTGATCCAAGTAAATCATCCAACTGGAGTAGTATAATATTTTGACTTTTATGCCACCAGAAAATTATTTCTGTTGAATCGTAGCTTGGAAACAAATTTATGGAAATCTATAAACCTACAAAAAACCATGTGTTCCCATTTCTTATTATACGCATAGATTCAAATCTTGTTTATATTTAACATGGGCTTTTTTTAAGAAGAGAAAAGCAAATTCAATAGTCACACCTTTTATACATATTTATTAATAAAAGTACAATATGATGCCCTAATTTTCATCTGGATACTTGACAGGGATAAAAGAAGCCAGAAGTAGTTTTTTATTTTGCTTTGAAATATAAAGTGCCCGTTATTTGACATAGGTCTAGCTCCAGTTAGCTGGAAGTATTCCAGGTTTAAACATCTGTCGCACAATTTTGCTGGTAAAGAATTGGTTGATTAGGGTCATATTGAGTAAGAGAGGTGAAATATACATCTATTTGCATTCAGTAATGTTCCTTTTGCCTCAAGAAGTAATAGTTGAGTATCAGTAAACTTAGTTTTACATTGCCATAAACAATTATATACTGAAATAACCACATAATTGTAAGTAGGGATGTTTGTGTTTAATTTCATTAGGTCCCACACAAGTGCACATTTCTAAACTACTGAAGTAAGTTAATAGTAAAGATGAGTGTGGAAAAATTTCAGTTGAGAAAGTTTTTTAAAGCAGAGGGAAAATGCCCATGCCTCAGATATTGAAAAGCAAGGATTGGAGCTACAATATGACTATTCAAATGTAGATTAGCAAAGTGACAGTCATTTCCTTCTGCAGTCAATAAAACAATTAGCTCACCAAAAGTGCTTTTAAATCAGGATCCTAGTTTTTCCTTTGGTTTAAAAGCATCTAAATATCCAACAATACTTGCAGATGCAAGTATTTTATTTTTTCAAAATTGCAAATCAAATGGATTTTATCTTTTAGAATCCAATGTACTTCAGGAGTTTTGCATCCTACCCTTTATTTTATTTTATTTTTTGCATGTGTCTCACTCTCTTAGTCTCTTTTGGCTGATATAACAAAATACCATAAACTGGATAGCTTATAAACAGACATTATTTCTCACAATTCTGGAGGCTGGGAAATTCCAGATCAAGTTGCCAGCAGTTTTGGTATCTGTGAGAACCTACTCTGTAGCTCATAGGCTTCTTGCTGTGTTCTCACATCATGGAAGGGGTGAACTCTCTTAGGCCTCTTTTATAAGGGCACTAATTCTGTTTGTGAGGGCTCTGCCCTCAGGACCTAATTGCCTCCAAAGGCCACAACTCCAAATACTATCTTTCACATTTTACTCATGTCCATGTGAAGAGACCACCAAACATGCTTTGTGTGAGCAACAAGGCTGTTTATTTCACCTGGGTGCAGGCGGGCTGAGTCTGAAAAGAGAGTCAGCGAAGGGAGATAGGGATGCGGCCATTTTATAAGATTCGGGTAGGTAAAGGAAAATTACAGTCAAAGGGGGGTTATTCTCTGGCGGGCAGGGGCAGGGGTCACGAGGTGCTCAGTGGGGGAGCTTTTGAGCCAGGATGAGCCAGGAGAAGGAATTTCACAAGGTAATGTCATCAGTTAAGGCAGGGACCGGACATTTTCACTTCTTTTGTGGTGGAATGTCATCAGTTAAGGCAGGAACTGGCTATCTGGATGTGTACATGCAGGTCACAGGGGATATGATGGCTTAGCTTGGGCTCAGAGGTCTGACATTCCTGTCTTCTTATATTAATAAGAAAAATAACATAGTGGTAAAGTGTTGGGGCGACGAAAATTTTTTGGGGGGTGGTATGGAAAGATAATGAGCGATGTTTCACAGGGCTGCTTCGAGAGGGATTGGGGCGGCATGGGAACCTAGAGTGGGAGAGATTAAGCTGAAGGAAGATCCTGTGGTAAGGGGTGATATTGTGGGGTTGTTAGAAGAAACATTTGTCATATAGAATTATTGGTGATGGCCTGGATACGGTTTTGTATGAATTGAAAAACTAAATGGAATAAGAGAAGGAGAAAAACAGGTATTAAAGGACTGAAAATTGGGAGGACCCAGGACATCCAATTAGAGAGTGCTCAAGGGGGTTGAGCATAATTACTTGCTTGGTTGGTGAGCTTTTAGGCTCTATCCAAGTTTTTGGGGTGCAGTTCAAGTTGGGCTGGTGTCTGGAATGAGACTGGGGCCTAATAAAAAGGAGTGTCCATGCAGGAGCTCAAATGGGCTGTACCCTGTAGCATTCCGAGGACAGACCCGCCTGAATGCTGAGAAGGGCAAGTGGTAAAAGTATTGTCCAGTCCTTTTTAAGTTGGTGGCTGAGCTTGGTGAGGTGTGTTTTTAAAAGACCATTAGTCCGTTCTACCATTCCTGAAGATTGAGGATTGTAAGGTATATAAATGTTTCACTGAATACCAAGAGCCTGAAAAACTGCTTGGGTGATTTGGCTAATAAAGACCAGTCCACTATCGGACTGTATAGATATGGGAAGGCCAAACCGAGGAATTATGTCTCACAGAAGGGAAGAAATGACCACAGTGGCCTTCTCAGACCCTGTGGGAAAGGCCTCTACCCATCCAGTGAAAGTGTCTACCTAGACCAAGAGTTATTTTAGTTTTCTGACTCGGGGCATGTGAGTAAAGTCAATTTGCCAGTCCTGGGCAGGGGCAAATCCCTGAGCTTGATGTGTAGGAAAGGGAGGAGGCCTGAACAATCCCTGAGGAGTAGTAGAATAGCAGATGGAACACTGAGAAGTTATTTCCTTGAGGATAGATTTCCACGATGGAAAGGAAATGAGAGGTTCTAAAAGGCGGACTAGTGGCTTGTAACCTACATGGAAGAGGTTATGAAATGATGACAGAATAGAATGGGCCTGTGAGGCTGGAAGGGGATATTTTCTTTGGTCCAAGAACCATTTGCCTTGTGTGGGAAGAGATTGATAGATGGAAGTTTCAGTGAGGGAGTGGGTGAGAGTGGCCAGATGAGAAGGAGAAAATCTGCACGAGGGATAGAAGTTGGAATGCTAGCTGCTTTTTTAATTACCTTATCAGCATAAGCATTGTCCTGAGCGATGGGATCTGAGCCCTTTTGATGGCTGCTTTTTTAGCTACCTTATCAGGATAAGCGTTGTCCTGAGTGATGGGATCTGATGCCTTTTGATGGCCTTTGCAGTGAATGACTCCAGCTTCCTTTGGAAGTAAAGTGGCTTTGAGAAGCATTTTTATTAAAGAGGCATTAATGATGGAGGACCCTTGCATAGTGAGGAAATTTCTTTCACCTATAAAACAGCTTGGTGGTGCAGGATATGGAAGGCATATTTAGAGTCAGTATAAATATTGATGTGTAGCCCCTTTGTAAGAGTGAGGGCCCGAGTTAAGGCAATGAGTTTGGCTTGCTGAGAGGTAGTGGAGGGGGCAGAAAGTATATGCGTCCGGTGTGAGAAAGAAAATAGATTTTGGAAGTTATGAGAACTGTAGAGAGTGAGTTGAGCATAGTTTGTGATTTTGAGGGTCTCTAAAAGTATTTAAGCAGCGGCAGCCGCCGCACGCAGACATAAGGGCTAGGCTAAAACAGTAAGGTCAAGTTGTTTGGACAGAAAGGCTACAGGGTGCAGTCCTGGCTCTTGTGTAAGAATTCTGACTAGACTGAAGTCATGGGGTCTGTCTGTGAAGCCTTGTGGCAGTACAGCCCAGGTAATTCGCTGAGCCTGATGGGTGTCAGGGTCAGTCTAAGGGAAAGCAGAGAGGCTGGGATGAAGGGTGCAAAGGAATAGTAAAGAAAGCATGTTTGAGATCCAGAACAGAATAATGGATTGTGGAGGGAGGTATTGAGGATAGGAGAGTATATGGGTTTGGAACCACAGGGTGGATAGGCAAAACAATTTGGTTGATAAGGCGCAGATCCTGAACTAACTTGTAAGGCTTGTCTGGTTTTAGGACAGGTAAAACGGGGGAATTGTAAGGAGAGTTTATAGGCTTTAAAAGCCATGCTGTAGCAGGCGAGAGATAACAGGCTTTAATCCTTTCAAAGCATGCTGTGGGATGGGATATTGGCATTGATTGGGGTAAGGGTGATTAGGTTTTAATGAGATGGTAAGGGGTGCATGATCGGTTGCCAAGGAGGGAGTAGAGGTATCTTATTCTTGTGGGTTAAGTGGGGGGAATACAAGAGGAGCACGCAAAGGAGGCTTTGGATTGGGAAGAAGGGCAGCAATGAGATGTAGCTGTAATCCAGGAATAGTCAGGGAAGCAGATAATTTAGTTAAAGTGTCTCGGCCTAATAGGGAACTGGGCAGGTGGGGATAATTAAAAGGAGTGCTTAAAAGAGTATTGTCTAATTTGGCACCAGAGCTGGGGAGTTTTAAGAGGTTTAGAAGCCTGGCCATCAATACCCACAACAGTTATGGAGGCAAGGGAAACAGGCCCTTGAAAAGAAGGTAATGTGGAGTGGGTGGCTTTCATTTTGATTAAGAAGGGGACAGACTCACCCTCCACTGTGAGAGTTACCCAAAGCATCTGTGATGGTCCAGGAGCCTTTTGAGGTGATCGGGCAGTGTCAGTCTTCAGCCGCTAAGCCAAGAAGATCTGGGAAGGAGTCAGTCAGAGAGCCTTGGGCCAGAGTTCCAGGGGCTCTGGGAGTGGCTGCCGGGTGAGTCCGATTTCCAGTGGGGTCCTGCACAGATGGCACACTGCTTAGGAGGAATCCTGGGCTATGGGCATTTGTTGGCCCAGTGGCCGGATTTCCGGCACTTGTGGCAAGGTCCTGGGGGAGGAGGTTCTGGAGGAATCCCTGGCAGCTGCAGTTCAGGCGTTTGGAGTTCTTGTGTGCTGGAGATGTGGCTGGGGTTTGTCTCACAGTGGAGGCAAGGAATTGCAACTCAGAAATACATTGCTACTTGGCTGCCTCTACTCTATCATTGTACACCTTGAAGGTGAGGTTAATTAAGTCCTGTTGTGGGGTTTGAGGGCTGGAATTTAATTTTTGGAGTCTTATTTAATGTCGGGAGCAGATTGGGTAATAAAATGTATATTGAGAATAAGATGGCCTTTTGACATTTTAGGGTATAGGGCTGTAAAGCATCTCAAGGTTGCTGCCAAACAAGCCATGAACTGGGCTGGGTTTTTCATATTTGATGAAAAAGAGTGTAAATGCTGACTGATTTGGGATAAAGAAAAAGGAGCATTAACCTTGACTATGCTTTTAGCTCCAGCCACCTTTTTAAGAGGAAATTGCTGGGCAGGTGGGGGAGGGCTAGTCACAGAATGCAACTGTAAGCCGGACCGGGTGTGAGGAGGGGAGGTGATAAAAGGATTATAGGGTGCGGGAGTGGAGGCTGAGGAAGAATTGAGACCTAGCTCAGCCTGGCGATGAGCAGCCTGGGGAGGAGGGGAGAGGTCATTGGGTCTGTAGAAAAGGAAGATTGGAAAGAGGAAAGACTCAGTGATGCTTGGGGTTGGGACTGAGGGGACAGGCGGGAGGGAAAGAAGGAAGTTTGGGACAAGCTGCATTGGGAACAGAGACTAGGGAGGGACCGATGTGTAAAAGAATGCCTGGACGTCAGGCACCTCAGACCGTTTGCCCATTTTAGGACAAGAATTTTTTAGGTCTTGTAGGGTGGAAAAGTCGAAAGTGCTGTTTTCTGGCTATTTGGAACCACTGTCCAGTTTGTATTGGGGTCAAGTGGCAGTACAGAAGAAAATAAGGCATTTAGATTTTAGGTCAGGTGTGAGTTGAAGAGGTCTTTGAGAACACAGGCTAAGGGAGAAGAGGGAGGAATGGAGGGTGGAAGGTTGTCCATAGTGAAGGAGCTAAGTCCAGAGAAAAGAGAGGGTAGAGACATGGAGAGAAGGGGTGGGGGGGGTGCTTGCCCCCCAGGAAAGTGGAGAAGGGGTAGAGACATGGAGGGAAGGGGTTGGAGGTGCTTGCCCCCCAGAAAAGCGGTGCTTGCTGCTAAGGGTGAAGGACCAAGACAGGCGTTCCCACGTGGTCACACACCTCTGAAACGTGGGTGAATAATCAGGCAGTTGTCCCCGCGTGATTAAACACCAAGGGAAGACTGTTTTCCCGAGTCCGTGACCGGCTCCGGAGTTTTGGGTTCATGGATAAAATGCGTCTCCTTTGTCTCTACCAGAAAAGGAAAGGAACTGAAATTAAGAGAAGGGAGAGATTGAAGTGTGGCGCCAAGATTGAAAGGAGAAAGAGGTTGAAGGATAGTGAGAGAGGTTGGAGAAGAGAGTAGAAAGAGGCTGCTTACCCGATTTAAAATTGGTGAGGTGTTCCTTGGGCTGGTTAGTCTGAGGACCAGAGGTTGCAGGTGGATCTTTGTCACAGAGCAAAGAGTAGGAGGACAGAAGATTGATCTCCCAAGGGAGGTCCCCCGATCCGAGTCACGGCACCAAATTTCACATTTCACTCATGTCTGTGTGAAGAGACCACCAAACAGGCTTTGAGTGAGCAACAAGGCTGTTTATTTCACCTGGGTGCAGGCGGGCTGAGTCTGAAAAGAGAGTCAGTGAAGGGAGATGGGGTGCGGCCGTTTTATAAGATTTGGGTAGGTAAAGGAAAATTACAGTCAAAGGGGGGTTATTCTCTGGCGGGCAGGGGTGGGGGGGTCACAAGGTGCTCAGTGGGGGAGCTTTTGAGCTAGGATGAGCCAGGAGAAGGAATTTCACAAGGTAATGTCATCAGTTAAGGCAGGGACCGGCCACTTTCACTTCTTTTGTGGTGGAATGTCATCAGTTAAGGTGGGAACTGGCCATCTGGATGTGTACATGCAGGTCACAGGGGATATGATGGCTTAGCTTGGCTCAGAGGCCTGACACTATCGCTTTGGGATTTGGATGTCAACATATGAATTTTGTGAGGGCGTAGACATTTAGACCATAGAACTCTCTAGAGGAGAGGGACAGACTGGTCATTTTAGTCTAATATTGGTATTATCCAGAAGTCATAAGGAGAGAGAGTGAGTGAGATTTAGAGACAGTGAGAGAGAAAAGAAGAAGAAGAGGAAGAGGAAGAAGAAGAAGAGGAAGAGGAATAGGAGGAAGAGGAAGAAGAAGGAGGAGGAGGAAGAAGAGAAAGAGGAGGAAATAGAGAAAGAGAGACTGAACAGGAAAAAAGAACAGGAAAAAATTATATTGCAATTAGAATTTTTGTAAAATCAATCCTCCAAGTGAAGTTAATATTAGAAGCACCATGGGAATTTTATTAACCCAACTTTTAATGTCATCATGCTTTGAGGAGTGTTCATTGAGCTAAAGATAAGAGACTCCAGAAAATTTCAACCTATGTATATGGTCTCTATGTTAAAAATCTCATTGAATGAAAATCTATTCAGACACTTAGTTTTGAAGTTAAATCACTTATATAATTTTGATTTATTGTTCAAGTGATTGTATACAACTATTTAAATGTTCTATTTTTAAAATAGAACATTTATTCCTAAGTATGGCAATAGCAAAGTATTCACTCATTTGTAAAGTAAGGCATTTAAATATATGAAAATGTGGTTTCCTCATACTCTTCTCTTTACAAAAGCATCTGAAAGGTGCTCTATAGAAGCATCTCATGATTTATTTTACAATCTGATTACTCAGTCTGAAATCTAATTATTCAATATTTGTATATCCTGCTAAAGTGTTAAATAAAAATTTATTTTATCCTACATATTTAGTTTCAAGAAAATTTTACAGCATAGCTTTTATTCCACATTTCTGTCCATGTGAGGATCCTTGAAATACTCTTTTATACTGTAAACAAAATTATCAAATGCAAAGATTATAGCACAGTAGCTGGATTCAATTTTCATTGGCCTCCACCTCTGCATTTCATTATTATTTTTACCTTTGTTCCTCTCAAATTGCTATCAGTTAGTCAGTTCTTCCCCAATTATTATTTTAGCATAAATAATTTTAAAGGATCAATATAAGTGAATATAAAAAGAGGATCTCAAAAAATGAGCCTCTCTTAAAATGCTTCTGTGTGGAAAATCTATTTTTGGAACATGGTTTTAGGACTATAAATTAT